>NT_187528.1:0-110099 GCF_000001405.40 Homo sapiens
GAATTCAATAGAAAATAACTTTGCAGAATAAAATCTCAGGTGTGTTTTTTTAGTGCCACAGTCTTGGATGATGGGCTTCTAGATGTTGAGTCCTAGAAGCTCTCAACATCTCTTCTTAATTGGAGAAAGTGTTAAGCCCCAAAGTAGCTGGAGCAGTACATCTTCAATTTTTGACAAGAAAGCAGGAACTTGGTTACTTTGAGTGTTATTCATTAGTTTCTGCTTTCATTGAGAATGCAGCAAAAGCCAACGAGGCTGCTGCTAACTCCTTGCTGGACATCTTCTGCCACTATCACAGGAACTGTGATCTCACTGGACAATTAACTAGGGAGCCTTTCATCTTGAATGACTGCTGCACAAATGATCTTCAAAGCATTTTAGCCACCAGAGGAATTCTCTTCAAATACCCAAAATCCATCAGTATCTTGAATCATGCTGGATTTTGAAGAATTCTTAACAAGCCATGTAAAGGGGGCTCTCTGGCCTTGAAATAGTGATGTTTTTTATACAGAAAGGAGAATGCCGAATGTTCAGACTACCATGCACTGTTAAATTTGATTTCAAGAAATTACAGGAAAACTTTCCAAAGTTCCGTCTCACAGAATTTATTTTTACAAAGAATTCCAAGATAAGTTTAGTTTTATGGAAGATTTTTATGTGGTTTTTACTCACTCTTCATCTCAGACATCAACCGATGATTACATCACTTATTTAGCTAGTAAATTTATTAATATAAAACTCAGAGACATTCCAATATCCACATTGCTTACATCATCAGGCATAGATTCAATGTCAGCTATGACAATTGAAAATAAGCTGTTTTGTGATTTAAAGGTTTAAATTTCTCTAACCAAACAGCTTGATCCAGATGCAGCACTGCAAATGTTAATATTTGTTCTGGAAGAGCAATCAAATAAGACTTAAGAGGAAAAGGAATGGCCACAATCCACCTGAAATTTTTTTTAAAAAAGTATGCAGCCTACTAAATCAGAATGAAAATAGAAGTACAAGATTATAAACAAAATGCAATCAAACTTTTCTTAAGCTTACCTAAAGTTATTTTATCTGAAAATTTCAAGCAACTTTGATCAACATTAAATTGACAATCTAAACTAACAAGTCTTTTGAATTTATGTATGGTAGTAAACATTCTCTCTATTAATTTTATTACCTAAGGCTAAACCTAAAATTTTTAAGCAAAATTAGAAAGTCTTCACTTATCAAAAAATAAAGTTTGTTACATTTAGTATTTTCCCAATAAAATTGGTCATTCTTGGTTTTTTATTTGGAGAATCTGTGCAAAATTTCACTGAAAATAAATTAGAACTAGAAATTATTTCTAAATACCAAAAAAAAAATGAAGAATGGTTTCACAAAGAAAAAAAGAAAACTTGCTTAATTAGCAGAGTATCATCTCTGTGATTTTTGTGATTATTTGATCAGTGTCCTGAGATGGATACAATGGCAAGTAATGACAAAATTAAAATAAGCATGCAGATTTTTTTAAATTAAGTGCCAAAAAATAATTGGTCATGCAAAGCCCTTAAAAATATTGTGGCCTAATTCTAAAGTTTTTTGCTACTATGCTACATCACACGCAACATCAGTTAAGTGCTCATTCTGTGACAGGTAGTACATTACATTTTAGCAAACTACACAAGACCCCTATGTGATAATATGCTTCAGGGTTGTAAGGTTGGGTGCATTTACTAGTCTTGAATTTTCTGGGAGTATACAAACCCAATATTAGTCTAGATGCCCACAAATCTATTTAGACGTCACAGTAGAATGGAGAGTAATCTTGACCACAGGAAGCTGTGTTGTGGCATTTATTTTGAAATTATTTTTTCTTGATTTTTTTGCCTTTTGTTTTGTGAGTTTTATAATGTACAGAATATTTTTAAATTATTATATATATCAACTAATTAGTCTTCATTTAAACTTACGCCTCTGGGGTCTTACTTGGGTTTCTCCTAACAATATTATACACATATTTGCAATAATTTCTCTCATACTGCTTTTAACTCATTTAATTTTTCAACTTTTTAAGAATAACAAAAGTGATATTAATTGTAAAAATGCTGAAGTGACATATGAATTTATGAAGTGCATATGTATTTTTTAGTTTACCAATGAGATGGGAGAAATGCTGTCTTATATTTTAACATACATTTTGGCCATTACACAGATGAAGCAACTTTTCATTTGTTAATACATAATGCATACTTTTTCTTCTGTGCAATTCCTCTTTGTATTCTTTGCTCATTTTCCCACTGGGATTTGCAAGTTCTTTATTATTTGATAATCTCTATACATTCTGAATATCAATTTTTTGTTATATATACCATGTAAATATTTTCTTCTAATTTGTTATTTGTCTTTTAATGGTATTTATCAATTGTTTGCTAAAAATGAGTTTGTTTAGTTAGTAAAATTTGTCTATCTTTAACTTCATGATATTTGTATATCATGTCATGAGGAAAAGGCATGAATATTTTAAAAACTTCCTTGTAGTGTTAATTTTATTTTTTATTTCATTCTTTAAGTTATTTGAAATTTATTGTTTATTTCTTCAAATTCCAAATAATAACCAACTTTCTCAAAGCAATACTTCTTTCTACTGATTTCAAACGTTACATTTGTCTTCTCTGAAGTTCTTGTTTTTTTGATACCTGACTGTCACACTACTGCTGTGGATGTGCTTCATACCATCACAGTACTGCAGGGTTATAAGATTATCTGATAGCCAATAGAAGCAGACGTCTACTCACTGTCATTCTTTTGTCTTTTGGAGAATAAAGTTAGCTATTTTTATCTGGGTTCTCAATTTTTTTTTTTTCTTTTCGAGATGAAGCCTTGCTCTCTCACCCAGGCTAGAGTGCAGTGGTGCGATCTTGGCTCACTGCAACCTCTGCCTCCCGGGTTCAATTGATTCTTCTGCCTCAGCCTCCTGAGTGGCCAGGATTACAGGCATCCATCACCACGCCTGGCTAATTTTTTTATTTTTAGTAGAGACAGGGTTTCACCATCTTGGCCAGGCTGGTCTTGAACTCCTGACCTCGTGTTGCACCCACCTCTGATTCCCAAAGTCCTGGGATTACAGGCGTGAGCCACCGCACCTAGCCGGGTTCTCAGTTTTGTATAAACTTTAAAATAGATTATCAAATCACATACCAATTACCATCTGATTGAAATTTCAATGTTTTTATACATAAGTTTCGAGACTAAAGCCATCTCTATTCTTTCAGCACTTCAGATGTTTATCTTTCAATTCAAAATGTATTCTAAATTTTATTTTGATGTTTCTTTGTGAATTATTTAGAAGTTTGTTGTTTGATTTCCAAACACTTGTGTGTTTACTAAGTATCTTATTGATATTCATTTTTTTCTTTTTTAATTTATATTTTAGGTTCAGGGGGTACATGTGCAGCTTTGTTATGTAGGTAAATTGCATGTTGCTGGGGTTTCATGGAAAAAACAATTTAGTCACTGAGGTAGTGAGCATAGTACCTGATAGACATAAGTAATTTTTCAGTCCTCACGGATTTTCCACCCTCTACCCTCACATAGGCCCTGGTATCTATTGGTCCCTGTTTTGGACCATGTGGAGCCAATGTTTATCTCTCATTTAGAGGTGATAATATATGCTTTCTTTTTCTGTTTTGGTGTTAATTTGCCTAATTTGTGGGACGTAGCCTCCAGCTACATCCATTTTGTTGCAAAAGCCATAATTTTATTGTTTTTTTTGTTGCTATGCAGTATTTCGTGGTGTATATGTACCAATTTTTTTTCTTTTTGAGATAGAGTCTCACTCTGACACCCTGGCTGGAGTGCTGTGGCATAATCTGGGCCCACTGCAACCTTCACCTCCCAGGTTCAAGCTATTCTGCCACCTCAGCTTCCCAAGTAGCTGGGTCTACAGGCACGGACCACCATGCCTGGCTAATTTTTGTATTTTTAGTAGAGGTGGTGTTTCACCATGTTGGCCAGGCTTTTCTCAAACTCCTAATATCAAATGATCCACCTATCTCGGCCTCCCAAAGTGCTGGGAATACAGGTGTGAGCAACCACGTCAGGTGGTACACATTTTTTTTTCTAGTCCACCACTGATGAGCCTCTAGGTTGGTTCCATGTTTTTGCTACTGTGAATAGTGCTGTGATAATCATACAAGTACATGTGTCATTTGGTAGAACAATTTATATTTCTTTGTGTATGTACCCAGTAATGAGATTGCTGCGCCAAATGGTAGTTCTGTTTAAGTTTTTTGAGAAATCTTCAAACTGCTTTATACAATGGCTGAATTGATTTACACTCGCAACAGAAGTGTATAAGATTTCCCTTTTCTCTGCAACCTCAGCAACATCTGTTATTTTCTGACTTTTTATTAGTAGCCATTGTGATTGGTATGAAATGATATCTTATTGTGGTTTTCATTTGCATTTCTCTAATGATTAGTGATTTTTGAAATGGAGCATTTTTTCATATTCTTGTTGACAGCATGTATGTCTTTTTTGAGAAGTGTTTGTTCTTGTCCTTTGCCCATTTTTCAATGAGGTCGTTTAGTTTTTGCTTAAAATTTTTTTTAAGTTCCTTACAGGTTCTGGATATGAGACCTTTGTCAGATCCATAGTTTGCAAATATTTTCTCCCATTTTGTAGGTTGTCTGTTTACTATGCTGATAGTTTCTTTTGTTGAACATAGTCTCCTTAGTATACTTAGGTCCCACTTGTCTATTTATGTTTTTGTTGCAATAGCTATTGGAAACTTGATCATAAAATCCTTGTTATTGCCTATGTCCAGAATATTATGTTCGGGGCTTTTGTCTAGGGTTTTTATAGTTTTAGGTTTTACATTTAGGTCTTTAATCTATCTTAAGTTGATTTTTTTAATAAGTTGGAAGGAAGTTGTCCATTTTAAATCTTCTGAATATGGCTAACCAGTTATCCTAGTACCATTCATTGAATAGGGAGTCCGTTCCCATTGCTTCTAATTATAGACTTTGTCAAAGATCAGATGGTTGTAGGAGTGCAGCCTACAACCTTCTCTAATCTGTTCCATTGGCTTTTGTGTCATGGTTTTTGTACCAGACCTATGATATTTTGGTTACTATATCCTTGGAGTATAGTTTGTGAACCCCCAAAATCTGAGACAGGTCTCAGTTAATTTACAAAGTTGACATTGCCCAGCTAGCTATATGTAGAAAGCTGAAACTGGATCCCTTCCTTACATCTTATACAAAAATTAATTCAAGATGGATTAAAGACTTAAATGTTAGACCCCAAACCATAAAAACCCTAGAAGAAAACCTAGGCAATACCATTCAGGACATAGGCATGGGCAAGGACTTCATGTCTAAAAACACCAAAAGCAATGGCAACAAAAGCCAAAATTGGCAAATGGGATCTAATTAAACTAAAGAGCTTCTGCACAGCAAAAGAAACTACCATCAGAGTGAACAGGCAACCTACAGAATGGGAGGAAATTTTTGCAATCTACTCATCTGACAAAGGGCTAATATCCAGAATCTACAATGAACTCAAATTTACCAGAAAAAAACAAACAACCCCATCAACAAGTGGGCGAAGGATATGAACAGACACTTCTCAAAAGAAGACATTTATGCAGCCAAAAGACACATGAAAAAATGCTCATTATCACTGGCCATCAGAGAAATGCAAATCAAAACCACAATGAGATAGCATCTCACACCAGTTAGAATGGCAATCATTAAAAAGTCAGGAAACAACAGGTGCTGGAGAGGATGTGGAGAAATAGGAACACTTTTACACTGTTGGTGGGACTGTAAACTAGTTCAACCATTGTGGAAGTCAGTGTGGCGATTAATCAGGGATCTAGAACTAGAAATACCATTTGACCCAGCCATCCCGTTACTGGGTATATACCCAAAGGACTATAAATCATGCTGCTATAAAGACACATGCACACGTATTTTTATTGCTGCACTATTCACAATAGCAAAGACTTGGAACCAACCCAAATGTCCAACAATGATAGCCTGGATTAAGAAAATGTGGCACATATACACCATGGAATACTATGCAGCCATAAAATTGATGAGTTCATGTCCTTTGTAGGGACATGGATGAAGCTAGAAACCATCATTCTCAGCAAACTATCACAAGGACAAAAAACCAAACACCACATGTTCTCACTCATAGGTGGGAATTGAACAAAGAGAACACCTGGACACAGGAAGGGGAACATCACAAATTGGGTCTGTTGTAGGGTGGGGGGAGGGGGGAGGGATAGCATTATGAGACATACCTAATGTAAATGACGAGTTAATGGATGCAGCACACCAACATGGCACATGTATACATATGTAACAAACCAGCACGTTGTGCACATGTACCCTGGAACTTAAAGTGTAATAAAAAAATATATATATATATATATATAAGTAAATGGCTGATCAGGAAAAAAAATTTAGGAAGTAGAATTCAACAACACATCAAAAAGATTATACATCATGACTAAGTGGGAATTATCTCTGGCATGCAAGGTTGGTTTAACATATGTAAATCAATCAATGTGATATATCACATTAACAAAATGAAAGATAAAACCACATGGTCACCTGAATTGATGCAGAAAAAGCATTTAACAAAATTTAGCAACCTTTCTTGATAAAACCTCTTAATAGTTTATGTATAGAAGGAAAGTTCCTCAACATAATAAAGACCATTTATCAGAAACCCATGGCCTACATCATAGTCAGTGGGGAACAACTAAAAGCTTTTCTACTAAGATTGAGTACAAGATAGGGATGCCCAGTCTCATCACTTTTATTCAACATAGTACTTGCAAGAGCAATCTGATGAGAAAAAAAAAGCAACTAAATTAAAGAAGTAAAATTATCTCTGTTTGCAGATGACAAGAATTCATTAATTCCTTTACACATTTTTAAAAGTCCTCCAACATGTTTTCTTATTCTCGTTTGCTCATAATCTTCAGTATCCATATTCTCTGATCTGTATTTTGATCTTTTAAAATACCTGTTGAGTATCCCTTAGCAAAAATGCATGGAACCAGAAGTATTTTGGATTTGGGATTTTTTTCAGATATTGGAATATTTGCATTCTACTTACCAGTTGAGCATACCTATTCTCCTTTGCAACAGAGTGCTAATATTCTCTTCTGTCTTTTTTGTTTTGTATGGTGGTCTATTTCCATCTTCTTCTGGAAGTTAACATCTATGCCATCAACAGTTCTCTAAATTTGTCCTGATTTTTCATGTTTCCTTCTTCAAAGATCTCTTGAGATTTTTGGTTTCTATGCCCAACTTAATTTTTGTGTAGAATCTTTAACTAGTTGTCCAGTCCCAAGAAACCCATCAAACTTCACATGTCTTTACTGACAAATGGACATTGCATTTCTCATTGATTTTACTATCTCTGGGGAGGTGTGCTCCCTGAAGGCAGCACTTTTATTTCCAGTGAAAAAGGCACGGTTAGGCAATATGGGAAAGGCATTTCTGAATTTCAGGACCAGTCCTAAAATTGAGTTTGGGTCAGTTCTCTCTAGAAAATATTCTATTTTATCTACAAAGCAAAATTATTTTATTCCTTACAATAATATCAGAGACAGTTTCGCTACTATTTACATTCAGTCTTTTGCCCTAAGTCAAACAGTCAACTCTGGGAGGAGGAGATCTTTGAAATAAATTTATTCTGTACCCTATAGACAGACACAAATTCTTTGGAGGCCTTTAGTTATATCTCCCTAAGAACTATGAAGGAAGATAATAGGCAACTGACTTCAAAAAATTTTGTTCTATTTTTTTGAAAACTCGACTCATTTATGCTCTCCAGTGTCTTATCTCCATACTGCTCTGTGTTTTACTTCTGAATCAATCTTCCCTCCCTCCCAAATATTTTCAGTGTGACTTCTGGAAACCTCATTAGAGGACATCGACTCCATTTCTTTGCTTTAATTAAAATTCAGCTATCTGTATGGGGACATTGCTTCCCTTGACGTGTGCTCCACTGAAGGCTAGTCATTTTCCCAAAGGCTAAGGTGTCATAGAATTTATTTAATAGAAGTAGGTTGGCATAATTTTAGCTCCATATTTCCTATTCCCAACCACTATTCCTCTATTTTAATACAAAAGCCCCCTCTTTACTGTCTATCCATCTAACTATAATGTCTTCTAACTATAATGTCTTCTAACAACTGCCACATTTATTCCAGAACTTCCTCTCCACCCAAGCAACATCATTTTCTCAGTTTCCTCTGAGACTTTTTCTTGAATTCAGCCTTCCACTGCCTATATCTTAGACATTTTTTTAATGGCCTCAACTGTTCCATGTAAAGAACCATAAGCTTAAATATCCATATTCTCTTAGCCTTATTTTGATCTTTTAAAATACTTGCTGAGTATCCCTTATCGAAAATGCATGGGACCAGAAGTATTTTGGATTTTGGATATTTTTCAGATTTTGGAATATTTGCATTATACTTACCAGTTGAGTATCCTTAATTTGAAAATCTGAAATCTGAAATGCTCCAATGAACATTTCCTTTGAGCATCATGTAAGTGCTCAAAAACTTTCAGATTTTGAAGCATTTCAGATTTCAGATTTTCAGATTAGGGATATTCATTGTTTGGCTGCCTTGGCTTGGGGCCACAATTTTATCTCCTGCTAGGGCAGGCTCTTCAGACCCACTTCTTCCAGCTGCTTCAGTGTAGGGAAGTAGTTGGCAGGCTTACTGTGAAGCTCCTCCCAGACTTTAGCCAACTTCAATCTCAAGCCACAGGCAGAGAGTCTTCTTGGTGTAGTTATAGTCCTTTCCTGCCCTGTTTTATGTTGGTTAGCTCCAGCTTGAGTTCCTCTCTTGGAGCCTTTACTAAAAGTAGCAAGAAGCAAGCATCTTATACCAGACACTTGAAATGTTTTCCTCCATGTTCTTTGGAGTTAGAGGTTCAGATGCCATGTGCTCTACCTTCCATGACATCATAGATGGTGGTTTTAACAAACATTTGTCCATGGCCTAGCAAAACTCACCAGCTTTATCACTGTCACATGCTGCGGAATTCTGAGTAAATGCCATGTATTTCAGATTATCTTCTGTTCAGCTCCTCTTCCAGGTACAAAGTTTTGTGTTAGTTAAGATGCAGGTTTGGTGGCTGTGATAGAAGTTCAAAATAAGAGTGGCTTAGACAAGAAAAGAGACTATTTCCCAGTCACATAATAGAACAAGTTGTTAAGGTGGCATAGCTTTACAGGGAGGTCAGTGCTTGGGTATCTTCTATTTTTCTTTTATCCAGTCACTATGGCATGGCCTTTGTGGCCCAAAAGAGCTCATCACCACATCTGCATGTTAGCTAGGGAAAAGGGGAAAATACTCCCTTCACTGACACACAGCAGTCACCAAAGCTGGTCACGTGGCTATTGAGAAGGTGCAAGGGCAGCTGGGAAAACTGCAGTGCATTCTGGGTATTGGTGAGAAGGCAGCCACTCTCATCTACTCTGATATTGAGAATTACATGTGATTGCTTTTAATTTTCATGTTAAACTTATTATGTGAGTTGGAACATTAAAGAAAAAATACACAAACAAATAAACTAGAGAATATTTTCCACTCCATTCATGTGACCGCCAGTCTTTGATGGAGTTGGAGCCTGACAGAGATGAGAGGCAGAGCTCACAGGATAGAAAGATTTGAATTTGACTTTACTTTTAAATGCTTTCTTAATAACTGAGTCCAAAAGTTAAGTTAAAAAAAAAAACTTGTTTAATTCTTCCCTCTGTCTCTAGGTAGCCCTGCATTGACATTATCATGAATACATTCCATTTAAAAACCTCCTTGAAAAGACAGTTCACTAATTGCCTCTATTAATGTTTCTCAGTTTTCTAGCCAAAACAAATATCTCAAGTTGTGCATTTCCTTTACGTAACAGTGTGCAGTTGTGATAAACAAATTATACATGGAACTGACATGATCCTACAACATAAACTCTTTGAGAACTGAGGCTGTGCATTTTTTAGATTAGTAGATACTTTGCAATTTTTTTAATGGAGTCTCACTCTTCTGCCCAGGCTGGAGTGCAGTGGCATCATCTCAGCTCACTGCAACCTCTGCCTCCTGGGTTCAAGTGATTCTCCTGCCTCAGTCTCTCGAGTACCTGGGATTACAGGCATGCGCTACCACGCCCGAATACTTTTTGTATTTTTAGTAGAGACGGGGTTTCACCATGTTGGTGAGGCTGGTCTCGAAATCCTGACCTCAAGTGATCTGCCTGCCTCAGTCTCCCTAAGTGGTGGGATTACAGGCATGAACCACCTCGCCTGGCAATCTTCTTTCAACTTAATCAGCCCTTATACACTCAAAGAGTTACTTGGATGCATGCTTTCTCATTATCTATTTTTGTCATTGCATATATCTGAGGAAGGATAATGAGACTCTACCATCAGTAGAAGGATGGTTGGATTATCAAGTGCAACACCTTATAGCCTATCTTGACTTTTCTCCCAAACTTCCTGGAAGAAAAGATGGGATTTTCTGACTCTTTTTAACTTCCTAGGACTAGAGAGCCAGGAAGACAGAAAAAAGGGGCAAAAGGGGCCTTACTTTTAACTTGGTACAAAGTTTATAATGGGAACATAATAGTTCCAGAAAGCAGAATAGAAGAATCTTATTAAAGAAACCAAGACAGGGAGCTTCATTAACATTCTGCTCTTGAACTCATGCTTTTATTATATACTTATGTGTAGGGCTATTCTGAGGACCTACTATTCATTTTTTCAAATAATTCATATTTTAATGTATTTACGTAGGTAATTTACATGACATTATTTTTAGAAATCATGACCTATTTCAACCTGTCATTGTTATCTATGGCTTAATTTCTGTGAAAAGCAATGAAGTCTGTCTGCAATATAGCTATGATGATCTCTAATTTTGTAGTTCTCTAATTTGTTCACACATTTAGAATGACCTTTTATGCCTTTCCAACTATGGCATCTTCTATTATTATATGATTTGGGTTGAAATGTTCACCAATACATAGTGCTTGAAATGCATATTAAAAAAGTATGAACAAGGGAGAATAGAAGTTGATACAGAAGCAGTAATACACAGTGTTCTCAAACAATCCACCTAAGTTGCCATTTCTAGTTTCATGTCTCATAATCCAAAATCCTGGGGAGCTGCCACTGAATCATTTCTTCTCCTAATCATAAATACCTAGACCCAATACACCAGGGAATACCAGGATCTTGAAAAAAATGAAAGAATGGAATAAAAAATCAGCCTCAGGAAAGCAGCCTAAATATATTTGAAGATGACAGATTGGTAGGTAGGTAGGTAGGTAGATAGGTAGATAGATACCTAGATAGATAGATAGATAGATAGATAGATAGATAGATAGATAGATAGATAGATGATAGATATTCCAAGACTATAAAACTATGAACCAATTTTTAAAATCATATAATCTTCTAGTATTATGCTGAGCTGAGATCACCTGCTTATACAAAATTCAAGACACATTCAAAGAGATCTTTCAGTGATAATTTTTTAATCAGAAGGAAAAAGTTTTAGATGCTACTTGAGAAAAGGACAAAGTATAGGTGGAGTTTCTCTTTTTTGCCAGTTGTTATTACTTAATTACACTATCTTTCTGGCCATAAAATGAACAAAAGGATTCATTCACTTGTCTCGTTAGGTATTAAGCATCAGTTGTCGATTCATTCATTTCACACATTTCACTAGTGACACTGAATACTGCAGAGCCTAAGATGAAAGGGGAAGCAATTCACAGGCCGATGAGAAGATGCACGATTGCCATTCAGGTACTGAGGGCTGCAACAGAGGAAGGGTGGTGAGAGCACTAATGAATTCTTGCTATTTTCTGATCATTGTCTCATCCTAATAACAGCTCCCTGGAAAAGGTACTATTAATCCCTAAAGAAACTAAAATTCAGAAAGATTAAATGACTTTCCCAAAATCACAAAACCAATATGCAATAGAGCCATAAATCCAATTCAGGCCTGTCTCATATCACAATTATTTTCTATCTGCTACACCAAGTGGCATCCTTGAGTTTTGCAAGATGCCCTCAGTGCCAAGGCATGAGTCCTTACCAGGGAAACTTTCTTTCTTTCTTTCTTTTTTTTTTTTTTGATGGAGTCTCACTCTATAGCCCAAGGTGGAGTGCTGTGGTGCAATCTTGGCTCACTGCAACCTCTGCCTACCAGGCTCAAGTAATTCTCCTGCCTCAGCCTCTGGAGCAGCTGGAATTACAGGCATGTGCCACCATACCTGGTGAGTTTTTTGTATTTTAGTAAAGACGGGGTTTCACCATGGTGCCCAGGGCAGTCTTGAACTCCTGAGCTCAGGCAATCCACCCGCCTCAGTCTCCCAAAGTGCTGAGATTCAGAGAAATTTTCATGGAGAGGGGACAGATGGAGTCATTTCTTGTGGGGTGAACATGAGTACCATGGGTAGACTGAGGTTGGGAAAGATTTTCCAGACAATTGGAAGAGCATGTGAAAGACACAGATTTTGAGAAATGTCAAGTCTAGGGAACTGCAAGCCTTTTGGCACAAGAAAGCCACTGTGGACTGTAGAGGCAGGATGCCTAGACTCAAATCCCAATGGCTACACTTCTAAGCTTTGCAATTTTGGCAAGTTTTTACCCTCTTTTTTTATCTATAAAATATAGATTTTATATATATAGATATAGATATATAGATAGATAATAATAGTACCTGCCTAATAAAGTTGTCAAAGATTAAATGTTATATGTGAAGTATTTTGTACAGTGATAGGAACCCAGGAAGGGCTCTATGAATATTATATATTATTATTATTCTAAAGTAGCCAGAATACAATTGTCAAAGGAGATAGTGGCCGGAGATAAGTTTGAATTGAAAGACTGAGGCCAGAACATAAAGTGCCTCCTATATTATATTTTATATAATTGGAACATCATTGAAAGATTTAAGTATTATTTATGTGTGTATGTGTGTTTTATATAATTAATTCTAGTTCATCATTTTAAAATATCTTTCTGGTGTCACTGTGAACAACAGATGAGAAGAAGTGAATCCTGAGTTAAGGAGACCAGCTCTCTGATTACTGCAATAATCCAGGGAGGGTACCATAAGGATTTCAACTGGAAATGAGTCCATCATGATGGAGAGGAAGGACAGGGCTGAAAAATACTTAGGAAGTAGTATCAGTAGGACTTGGTTAAGAGAGAGCAGAGGCAGGCTACAGGGGTTGGAGGTGTCAATCACAGAGATAGGGAAAATGGGAGGAGAAGCAGGCTTTGAAAAAGTGGCTTGTCTTGTAAAATTATGTCCTATTAAAACAGTAAAAGAAATTAATATATTCAATCCCAAAATACAGGTACAATTCTTTTTGAAAGAGTTACCCAGATAATCTTGCTTGAAGTTTTCAGTTAAAGAAATTTCTTGTTAACAAGTAATGTAGTCATAGAAGAAAACACTTAAAACTTTATTGAATAAAGCTAATAAATCATTTAATATAATTTATAGGAAACTGTTACATAACACACACATTCAATACTTTTTGCTAAAGTATAAATTAATGGAAGGAGAGCACACACACGGAGGTTGAATTATGTTTATGACTTTATTAGTCAAGAATACAAAATTGAGTAGCTACATCAAGCAGAAGCACACAAAGCAGAAGCTTTACAATCCAGCACAGAATCCCTTGACTTCCAAATTCCCGAAACAGACATATAAATACAGATGACATTGTCAGAACAAAATAGGGTCTCACCAGACCTATAATGTTCTTTTCTTGATATGCACATGAATTGCATACGGTCATATGGTGCCAATTACCATTATTTCCTCTGGGCTTAGCTATCCATTTAAGGAGAATTTACACCAACACTGTACCTCTACTTGCAAGAATATATGAAAGCATAGTTAACTTCTGGCTTAGGACCCCAACTCAGGATCAACAAAGCAGTCCTCTTGGGGGAAGCCCATTTCGCTACAATTTAAAGTCATTATAAGCATTAAATAAAAGCTAAGTACTTGTAATCAAGTGTGTTATAATGCAGTTAGGGAATTGGATTTCAGGTGTTTATTTTTAACAGAAATCCATTAATTCTGACACCTAAGGCAAATGCTAGTCAACATGAATGGAGAAACTTTTGATTAGTGGTATATGTTTTCAGATTTCTGGAACATTCATAGACGCTTCAATGTCTTATGTACTGAAATTTTTTAAACCATTGTTTTCTCTAGAAACTAATGAAACTCATCATAAACTCATTTTTCAATATTAAAACATAGTCATAAGTAGAATATTAATCTTATATTAATTAAGATGTTAACATATGTGAAATTTAATACTTCCTGAAAGGAAATGTCTAAAAGAAACTGTTTTAATTCTTCAACCACAAGGACTACACGGGGCAGTTTCAGCACCAGGGATAGTTTTCTTCCTGGATAACAGCGAATGCTCTAATACTGATGAGTAAATCCTGTGTGTCTAACTTCAAATTAATTGTTAGGTTTATATGAATGAGTATAACATGATAGTTAGGAGCATAGGCACAAAGGAAACATTCAGATTTGGTGTTGTTGTCCTTGCTATTATTCTTGTTGTATGTGAGGCTGTTATGATAAAAGATACTGATTTAGGTCAAATACACATATTACTTGTGGAAAATTAATAACTCTAATTAAATATTTCTTGTTTCATACACATTAATTTTAAATACAGCCCAACAATGGACCACTATTTCTCAATACAAGAAAGTAATACATAAAAATCATGAAGTTCTTCAATCAAACTTAAATAATGCTTATTGCAAACATAAAACATAAAAAACAACACATTTTTAAAGAAATATTATCTTTCCAAACATAGCCATATAATTCCTCTGTATTAGAATTTTTCACAGGAATTCTAACTAGTATATTTTTGTACATGCTTTAAAGAATAAAAAAATTTGAACTGTTGACCAAATGTGATATATTATATACTATTGTGTGTATTTTAAAGTGAGGGTAAAAAAAGACACCAAAGCCTCTGGGAAGTTAAACTATAAATTAACTTACAGAATTAATTAATTAGGAAGTTAAACTATAATTAACTTACAGAAGTTACCAAGAGGTGTTAATGCCTACCCTAGGAATGACTATAAATCTATTAGTTAGAATTTTCATATATCTCAATTTTTAATATGTAATTGTTTTGAAAAATTTGGCCAATTTGAAAAAACCATTAATATGTAAATAAATATATCTATATTAATACATATTCTTTATTAATTCTTTATTAGATACTAATCTGGGTTCTGCACAATTTTGTATCTGGGCATTTATTTGTTTTATATGCCAGTAACAAATATAAAACTTTTTGAAGCCACCAATATATTTTTAATGGATGGAGCCATCTCTATGCTGATATATCACAGTTACTACACCAATTTATAGTTAAGAGATATCTGAATGTGATGTTGGACCTAGGAAACTAGTACTTGTAAACCCAATCACCAGGAATGCATGGTTGAATGGCCAAAATTCAGGAAACGTACAGGTGGATAAACCAATGATCCATTAACCTAACAGTATAATGGTTCCCAGGAACCAAGGGGAACAAAATTGGTTGGAGAAGAAATATACGATACTTGCAGAAAAAAAAAAAAACAACTTGCTGCTAAGGCCAGGTTCCTTACTGGCATGCCAACCCTCCATCCTGGGGGTAGCCAGTCCTGAGTGAGCCTGGCCTGAGGTTCGCTGGTAATCACTACACATGTCTAGCTAGTGGCATTCCTTGGTCAGATTTGAATGTAGAGATAGAAAGCAAACAAACAGTTACCTAAAGACAGTAATTCTCTGCCATCCACAGGAGGGTTTTGCCTAGCATTCACATGCATGTTGCTACAGTACAATTGATTCATTAATTAACTTTAGCCAGTTACTTAGTAAACTCAGGTCAACAAGAGAGGAGGCAATGCTTTCTTTCCTAGCTGAAACCATACATACTGAGGATCTAATAATGAGTGCATACATCAACGACTGAGTTTTTTTACTTTCAAAATATTTTGTGGTATCATGAAAACATGGTGTAAATCCCAAGGGAAATTTGTCTAGAGATTTGACAAAGCTTTATCTTGCTGTCCAATTAGAAAATGGATGACTGGAAAGGTTCTTCTAAAAACTGTCTAAGATATTTATTGCCAGAATTTTCTTGAGGAGAAACTGTTGGTCCAGTTCCACCTACATTCCCTTACCTCGATCATGTAATCCTGAGCACCTGCTCCTCAAGAGTCAATGCTTTCCTTCAAAGGATCCTTATACATACACTGGAGCTGACACACAAAAGTGCCTTGCTGCATTTTTGAAGATCTCAAATTTGGCCTCTCGTTTACATTATCCTTCATTTTGTTCATCACATTTCCAGTTTCCTGACTGTTTACCAAACTTTATATTGCCTTCCTATTCCATTCTTGAGGATCCATGGTCACTGCAACTGTCTTTTCAGGTTTGCCCCAACTGTGGCTTGTGTGACCAGTTTTGATTCCTTGCCATTTGATTCCTGACCACTAGCTCTGGGCATGGAACCTGCCTAGCTCCAATTTTTTTTTTTTTTTTTGAGAGGGAGTCTTGCTCTGTTGTCCAGGCTGGAGTGCAGTGGCCACTGCAACCTCTGCCTCCCAGGTTTAAGCGATTCGCCTGCCTCAGCCTCCCGAGTAGCTGGGATTGCAGGCATGCGCCACCACACCTGGCTTATTTTTGTATTTTTAGTAGAGACGGGATTTCCCCATGTTGGCCAGGCTGGTCTCAAACTTCCTACCTCAGGTGATCCGCCCGCCTCGGCCTCCCAAAGTGCTGGGATTACAGGTGTGAGCCACCACGCCCGGCCCTGCTTAGCTCCTTTTAACATCCCCCACAACTTGTCACACACTTTATCCAAACCAGTTCCCTGCTCTGAGTCTACGAGCCGTGACTCACTACTGCCTGTATTTCCAGATGACTGGAATTACTGCTCCATTCCAGACTGCTGCCAGAATTAATGCTATTGCTTTCTCTGTAATACTTTGTACTTTTCAAAGGATCATAATTTATCTCATTTGTGCTTACAACCCCTTGCTATAATGAGAGCTGTTCATTCCTATGCTCTCATTCCTATTTCATTGGTAAGAAAATCAAGACTCCAAGAGGCCAAATAATTTACTTAACACAAGCAATGATGATTCAATACTTTGAATGCTAGTTTTGAGGACCTTATTGTTCTCCCAAAATCATGTTTTAGGGAATTTAACAGTCCCATAGAGGAATGATTTTATTCTGACTTTAAAACCTTTTGTTTTTCTTCCTTTAATATGTGACATTGCCTTGTAATGTAAGTAATCTGTGTCAAACTATTGAATGTATTGAATTTTTAGAATTTTTACCTTTAAGTTATTTCCTCCTTTCTTTCCTTGAGACATTTATCAATTATTTACCATGTATCAATCAATGAGCATAGCTTATTGCTGCAGAGTTTATTTATAAGCTATAGTCCCTGCCTTCAAGTAGTGCTAAAGTAGTCAGGAAAAAATTGTATAACAAATTACTACAAGACTATATTTTTTTCATAAAAATAAATACCATAAAAAAGTATCATTTTCTGAAATCATATTATTTATATACATTTTGCTAGTTTATTGTCTGTGACCTGTATTAGAACATAAGCTATATGAGGACGGGGACTTTGTTTCATTTACCGCTATATTTCCTGTACCTTGAAACTACACATGGCTTGCAAGATACATTCAATAGATACGTGTAGTAAGGAATAAAATGTTAGTTCTCCTTTAGGCTTTTAAGGGCGCCTGTAGTCCCAGCTACTCCGGAGGCTGAGGCAGGAGAATGGCGTGAACCCCGGGGGGCGGAGCCTGCAGCGAGCCGAGATCGCGCCACTGCACTCCGGCCTGGGCGACAGAGCGAGACTCTGTCTAAAAAAAAAAAAAAATTCTCTTATGTTTCTAGTGAATGAAGACTGTTTATTAGATACCACATGAGTGGCACTCATTGCATAATCAGTTAGTAGATTTACTTTTACATCTATTTTTTGAGTGGTCCCAGCAATAATTAGTGAAACATAGTGTAAGAACCAACCATTACCCCTGTTTTATAAATGACGAAACATACTCCAAGATTATGTGAATGGAAAAGGAAACATGGGAAAATCATATTTCTGAACATGATTTGTACAATTACAGGTTTTGCTTTAGGAAGACTCACTATTAAATGTGTGTGAGTGTTTGTGTGTGTATGTTTTTATTATAATAGTATATATGCTTATTGCAAATCATTTAAAAATAAATGTGAAGAAGAAATGGAAAGTCGCCCGTAATCTCATTGCTCCGTGGTCACTATTGTAAACATTTGACATTTGTTAAATCTATTATTTATGTCCTGTATTCAAAGTAGTGTGGAGGTAGGCAAGATCACTGGACTAGTCAGGAAATTTGAATTGTCTACCTGTCTGTTACCTTAGCTTTTGACCTTGGTGTAGGGATTCCATGATTACCAACATTTAATTTTTAAAATTATTTCTTACCTTACCTTCTTCTCCAGTTTCTACTGTTATTTCTATTAAATAAATATGACTTTGTTTTGCAGTGAGATAGCTAGATTAACAGCATTGCCTTTATAGTCAGTGAAGAATAAAAGATGATGTTTCACTTAGCTCATGTAGTTCTAGTTCTCAAGAATATGATATGTGATACTTTTTGAAATATTAAAAGTCATTTAAACAGTATCCATTTGACTATATAAAAGCCTAGCTAGGCTCTCCATGAAGGGAGCAATTCAAATAGATGGTTTGTAACATCTTTTTCAGTTTTAAAATATGGATACGCTGATTCCTTTGCACATTGATATATGAACTCATTCTTCCTTCTTATTATTCCCCAGGTGGTAATAATTTTGCTTCTAGACCAGCAAGCTAATATATCAAAAACTCTTACATATAAATGTAGTTGTTTAAAAATATTTATGCTGTGTAATGTCTGTAATTTATGAGTTACAGACATGATATCCATTATATTTTTGCCTAATAATTCATTTTTAGGAAAAACTAAGAATAAAGTTATTCTTTGTATTTTTACCAATCTTTTCCCAACCAAGTGTTACTGAAACTGTCATTCCGAAATCTTTTTACCTTTTAAGGTTCTCACTTTTGAGGCTGAGAACTATGAAACTAGTATTCAAATTTGCATTCATTGTTGTAATTTCTGGCAGCATGTCCAATTTACTTCTACTGTTAGGTGCTTGTTTGTTGTACTTATGAAGAACTAAGAAGGATTTTCTAGTAGCCCAGAGTTATGTTATTTTTTGCTTAGTGACAATTTTTACAAGAGACCTTATTATAATGAAACCAATGAAATGCATCACAGTACCTTTTTCAGAGTGCCAGTGGCTTATGAGATATTTTTTGATGTAAACTTGTTAAAGCCATGTAACTAACCAAGCTTATATCCTTACTGTAGAACTAGAGACATATTATAAATATTTATAACAAACAAAATTGGGGTAAGAATCCCTCATTTGCTCTATTTTTTGGTCAGTCAATAAATATATTTTTAAAAATTTGTGTCTGTGACTGGTTTTGGTAACAGTGTAATACTGGCCTCATAGAATGAGTTTGGAAGTATTCCTTCCTCCTCTATTTGGAAGTATGCCCTTCTCTATTTTTCAGAATAGTTTGAGTGGAATTAATATTAGTTCTTTAAATGTTTGGTTAGAATTCAGCAGTGAAGCTATCATTTCCCAGACTTTTCTTTACTGGGAGACTTTTATTACAACTTCAGTCTTGTAACTTGTTATTAGTCTGTTCAGGTTTTGGATTTCTTCCTGGTTCAATCTTGGTAGTTGTATATGTGTAGCAATTCATAAATTTCTTCTAGATTTTCCAATTAATTTGCGTGTAGTTGCCCACAGTAGCCGCTAATGATCCTTTGAATTTTTGCAGTATCAGTTGTAATGTCTCCTTTTTTATTTCTGATTTTCTTTATTTGGATCTTCTCTCTTAGTCTGGCTAAAGATTTGTCAATTTTGGTTAGCTTTCCAGAAAATAAACTTTTCATTTCTTTGATCTTTTGTATTTTTTATTTCAATTTTATTTATTTCTGCTCTGATCTTTATTATTTCTTTTCTTCTGTTAATTTTGGATTTGGTGTGCTCTTGATCATTCAGTTCTTTAAGATGCAGCATTTGATTGTTTATTTGATATTTTTCCTCTTTTTTGATATTGGCACTTATAAACATCACTCTTAGTACAACTTTTGTTGTATCCCATAGATTTTGGTATGTTGTGTTTCTATTATTATTTGTTTCAAGAAATTTTTCAATTTCTTTCTTAATTTCTTCATTGACCCACTTGTCATTCAGGAGCATATTGTTTGATTTCCATGTATTTGTATAGTTTCCGAAATTTCTCTTGGTATTTCTAGTTTTATTCCATTGTTGTCAGAGAAGATGCTTTATATTATTTCATTTTTTTGGAATGTTTCAAGATTTGTTTTGTGACCTAACATATGGTCTGTCTTTTCAACTGATCCATGTGCTGAGGAAAATAATGTGTATTCTGCAGCTTCTGGATGAAATGTTCTGTAAATATCTATTAGCTCAATTTGGTCTGCAGTGAAGATTAATTCTGATGTTTCTTTGTTTTCTTTCTGGAAGATGTGTCCAATGCTGAAAGTGAGGTTTTGAAGTCTGCAGATATTATGGAGCCTATAGCTGTCTTTAGCTGTAATAGTATTTCCTTTATATATCTGGGTGCTCCAGTGTTGGGTGCATATATATTGAAATTATTATATCCTCTTGCTTAATTGACCCCCTTATCTTTATATGGTGACCTTCTTTGTCTCTTTTTATAGTTAGCTTTTGTCTTGAAATTTCTTTTGCCTGATATAAGTATAGTGACTTCTGCTCTTTTTTTGGTTTTCTTTGGCATGGGATATCTTTTTCCATCTGTTTATTTTCAGTCTTTATGTGTCTCTATAGGTGAAGTGTGTTTCTTTTAGGCAACAGATCAATAGGTCTTGTTTTTTCATCCATTTAGTTAGTCTGTGTCTTTTGATTGGAGAGTTTAGTGTATTTACATTCACTGTTATTATTAAGTAAGGATCTACTCTTGCCATTTTGTTTTTGGTTTTCTGGTTGTTTTGTGGTCTTCTTTCTTGCATTCTTGTCTTCCTCTAGTGAAGATGATTTTCTCTGGTGATTTAGTTACTTGATTTTTATTTTTTTTTGTGTCCATTGTATGTTTTTTGGTTTGAGGTTACCATGAGCCTTGCAAATGCTGTCTTATCACTCATCATTTTAACCTGATAACGGGATACTATTTGCATAAGCAAACAAGCAAAAAGAAAACTAGTAAAAACTTGCCTTAACCTCATTTCCTTGCTTTTTAACTTTTCGTTTTTTCTGTTTATATCTTATTATACTGCCTATGTCTTGAAAAGTTGTTGTAGTTATTATTGTTGTTTAATTCATCATTTAGTCTTTCTACCTAGGATAAGAGTAGTTTGCAAACCACAGTAACAGTGTTTATAACATTCTGTATTTTTCTGTGTACTTATATTACCAGTAAGTTTTGCATTTTCAGGTGATCATTTATTGCTCATTAATGCCCTTTTCTTTCTGATTGAAGTACCCTCTTTAGCATTTCTTGTAGGACAGGTCTGGCGTTGATGAAATCCCTTAGCTTTTATTTGTTTGGGTAAGTCTTTATTTCCTCTTCATGGTCAAATGATATTTTCACTGGATATACTATTCTAGGGTAAAAGTTTTTTTCCCTCAGCAATATAAATATGTCATGCCACTGTCTCCTGGCATATAAGGTTTTCACTGAAAAGTCTGCTGCCAGATGTATTGGGACTCCTTTGTATGTTATTGTTTATTTCTCTTGCAGCTTTTAGGATTCTTATTTTATTCTTGACCTTTGGGTGTTTGATTATTAAATGTCTTGAGGTAGTCTTCTTTGGGTTAAATCTGCTTGGTATTCTATAACCTTCTTGTACTTGGATATTTTCTCTAGGTTTGGGTAGTTCTCTGTTATTGGAATGTTTACTCAAAATAAACTTTCTAACCCTGTTCTCTACCTCTTTTTCAAGGCCAATACCTCTTAGATTTGCCCTTTTGAGGCTATTCCCTAGATCGTGTATGCATGTGTCATTGGTTTTTATTCTTTTTTCTCCTCTGTGTGTTTTCAAATAGCCTTTCTTCAGAAGCTCATTAATTCTTTCCTCTGCTTGATCCAGTTTGCTCTTGAAGGACTTGATGCATTCTTAAGTATGCCAATTGCATTTTTGAGCTCCAGAATTTCTGCTCGAGTTTTAAAAATTATTTCAATATCTTTGTTAAATTTATCTGATAGAATTCTGAATCCCTTCTCTGTGTTATCTTGAATTTCTTTGAGTTTCCTCAACACAGCTATTTTGAATTCTCCATGTGAAAGGTCACATAGCTTTGTTTCTTGAGGATTGATTCTTGGTGCCTTATTTAGTTCATTTGGTGAGGTCATGTTTTTCTGGATGGTGTTAATGCTAGTACATGTTCCTTGGGGCCTGAGCATTGAAGAGTTAGGTATTTATTGTACTCCTCATTGCCTGAGCTTATTTGTAGCCATCCTTCTTGGGAAGGCTTTCCAGTGACACTGTGGTTCTTGCAGGCTTGTAGAGGTACTGCCTTGATGGCCTTGGATAAGATCTGGGATAATTCTCTAGATTACCAGGCAGAGTCTCTTTTTCTCTTCCCTTACTTTCTCCCAAGCCCACAGAGTCTCTCTCTCTCTCTGTTCTGAGATACCTAAAGCTGGGGCTGATATGATGTATGATACAAGCACCCCTATGACCACCACCACCATGACTGTGCTGGGTCACACCTGAAGCAAGCACAGTGCTGGGCCTTGCCTTAATCACTCCTTGGCTATAGCCTATGTTCACTCAAGGCCCTGGGGCTCTACAATTAGCAGGTAGCAAAGTCAGCTGGGCCTGTGTCCTTCTCTTCAGGGTGGCAAAGTCCCCCTGGCCACCAGTGGGTCCAGAGATGCCATACGGGAGTCAGGGACTAGAGTCAAAAACCTTAGAAATCTACCTGGCATTGTGTTGTATTGCGGCTGAGCTGGCACTCAAACCACAAGACACAATCCTTCCCACTCTTTCCACTTTTTCCCCTTTCCAAAAGCTGAGGAGCCTCACCCCGTAGCCACTGCCACTCCTGGCCATGAGTACTGCCAAAGTACCATCGATGTTCCCTTAAGGAGAAAGGGCTCTTATATCAGCTTGTGGTGAATATTGCCTGGCCTGGGACTCACCCGTCAGGGCAGTGGGCTCCCCTTTGTCCCAGGGCAGGTCTAGAAATGCTGTCCAAGAGTCAAGTCCTAGAATTGGGGACCCCAAGAGCCCACTTGGTGCTCTACCCCACGGTGGTGGTGTTGGTACCTAAGATGCAAGACAAAGTCCCCTTTACTCTTCCTTCTGTTTTTATCAAGTTATTCCTAAATCTTATCATTCTTTAAACCAAAAGGATATCCAGTTTGACAGTGTTCTTTTTTAAGAATGATGCTTATAACTGAATATAATAGTTCCTATGGGATTCAATCAACAGATAGTAACAGAGTATTATTATGTTATTTTGTTCTGTGTGTATTTGTCTATTACTGCACTTAAAATACGAAACGGGAGGGGCAGTATGACTTTGGACTCATTTGCCATAATGCTGAAGTCAAATGTGTTGCTGTTAAATCAGCTTTCTTTACCCAATTCACATTTGTGCTTAAAAAAAAAAGCATTACAAGACCTTGCATATTTCTGTTCAACTTATTTTTAACATTCATTTCATTATTGCAACATTTATTGTAAGTTGTATCAGTTTCATATTTCTTCATCTTCTATATATGGAGATTATGCCCCAGTTACATCTCTTTATCTGTAAGACTAGTAATATCAAAAAAGAAAATGAATTTCGTGTCTTAAAATTTATCCTTAGTAAATTCTACATTTTCTGTTGATTATCACTTTTAAAGGCCAAACCCTCTTTTTAGGAATTTTTCCTGAATCGCACCCAGGAATCACATGCTGTAGTTTGCTCTGTTTTACTAGACTTGAAATCACCCTTTCCCATTTATGTGAAAATTAGATTTCTGTTTGTAGGGAAAAGAAAGAGAGATCAGACTGTTACTGTGTCTATGTAGAAAGGGAAGACATAGGAAATTCCATTGTGACCTGTACCTTGAACAATTGCTTCGCTGAGATGCTGTTAATTTGTAACTTTGCCCCAGCCACTTTGCCCCAGCCACTTTGCCCCAACATTCAGCTCACAAAAACATGTGTTGTATGGAATCAAGGTTTAAGGGATCTAGGACTGTGCAGGACGTGCCTTGTTAACAAAATGTTTACAAGCAGTATGCTTGGTAAAAGTCATCGCCATTCTCGAGTCTCGATAAACCAGGGGCACAGTGCACTGTGGAAAGCCACAGGGACCTCTGCCCTGGAAAGCCGGGTATTGTCCAAGGTTTCTCCCCATGTGATAGTCTGAAATATGGCCTCATGGGATAAGAAAGACCTGACCATCCCCCAGCCTGACACCCGTGTAGGGTCTGTGCTGAGGTGGATTAGTAAAACAGGAAAGCTTCTTGCAGTTGAGATAGAGGAAGGCCACTGTCTCCTGCCTGCCCCTGGGAACTGAATGTCTCGGTATAAAACCCGATTGTACATTTGCTCAGTTCTGAGATAGGAGAAAAACCGCCCTATGGCGGGAGGCGAGACATGTTGGCAGCAATGCTGCTTTATTGTTCTTTACTCCACTGAGATGTTTGGGTGGAGAGAAACATAAATCTGGCCTACGTGCACATCCAGGCATAGTACCTCCCCTTGAACTTAATTATGACATAGATTCTTTTGCTCACATGTTTTTTTGTTGACCTTCTCCCTGTTATCACCCTGCTCTCCTACTGCATTCCTCTTGCTGAGATAATGAAAATAATAATCAATAAAAACTGAGGGAACTCAGAGACCGGTGCTGGTGCAGGTCCTTGGTATGCTGAGTGCTGGTCTCCTGGGCCTACTGTTGTTTCTCTATGCTTTGTCTCTGTGTCTTATTTCTTTTCTCAGTCTCTCATCCCACCTGATGAGATATCCCACAGGTGTGGAGGGGCAGGCCACCCCTTCAGTGTTCGCTACTTTCAGTGCTTACAATGCCTGTCATTTATCTGTAGCTCTTATACTTTTTATAAAAAATAATTTTATACCAAAAGCCTTGAAACTTTTTTAGAGTAGTAGCTTTGAATTGTTGTTATTATTTTATTCTACTGTTATCGGTAACCTCCCATGTTAACACTATTGTTTCTTTCTGTTTACTTTCAGTTGGTTGGCAGAGAATTTGAACTGGAGATGAACTTTATTATCCAGGATGCTGAGAGTATAACATGCATGACAGAGCTTTTAGAGCACTGTGATGTAACATGTCAAGCAGAAATAGGGAGCATGTTTACAGCCATTCTATGAAAAAGTGTTCGGAATGTACAGACTAGCACAGAAGCTGGACTAATTGAACAAGTATTGCTGAAAATGAGTGCTGTAGATGACATGATAGCAGGTATGGGGTTGTCTGTCAGGAAAGTATAACTTAAATGTTTATAAAGTTTCACATACTTCTCTTTATATTCTATAGGTAATGTAGATTTGTTGACACTGCTTTGATTTAAAATAAATGGAAATGTATAGAAATTTTACTTTTTATATTAATGGAAAACCTGAAAAGTGAAAGAAGAAAAACATAATTATTATAGTAGACAAACATAATTACTAACGTTGTTTTCTAAATTTTAGAAAATCTCAGTACCACGGAGTGCTATGAAGTCTATCAGAAAAATAAACAGTATCTTTTTATGTAGTATTTCATTCAGCTTTTACATAATTAAAATGCCACAATAGGTATTACAGTTCTGTATAATGAGCATTTCACCAAATTCCCCTAGTTCTGTGCCCCTCAATCTGGCATATATGCAACTATGACAGGAAGTACTAAAAGCCTTAGATAAGCATGGTGTATCTTTTTTTTTTCCCCACGTATATTTTTTGTTGCTTTTTGTTTTTTTTCTGTAAAATGTCCCGGTTCTTCCATAACTTATAAACATGATTTATACCGAGGAGATGGGGAAGTGGACGGGGCAAGGTGGACTGACCAGGGATGGGGAAGTGATTCAGGAAGGCCCCAAGGGCCAGTGTCAGGGGCAGGGGCGGGAGCTTCTTCTCCAACGTGGCACACACGATCCAGTTGCTATCCACAGAGCCTTTGGCCTTGGGCAGGTCCAGCTGGTACCCGAAGGAGACGCTGGTGTCCTGCATCCTTGTGCTGGCCTCAAACTCCACACCCACCTGCAGCTGGTCACTGGCTTTGTGGTAGTATGTTGCGTGCATGCCCGCCTGGCCCAACGTTACCGTTGCCAACCAGTTGTTCAATGTGTATTTCCCAGCTAGAGACATGACAGTGCCCTCCTCCCCAGGCTGCTGGTGGTAGACCAGCATTCTGCCCAGGGCCAGGCAAGGCGTGATGCTCTGGAGGTAGTGGGCTACGAGGATTCCTGAACCCACGAGGACGTCTGGGTTTCCCCAGGGTTACGGCTGCTGTGAGTCAGAGCCCCGATACTCCCCGTCCACCTGCCAGTTCACAAACTTCGACTGCTGGGTCTGGATGGCCATCTTGGACCTGAGGCGGGGGCCCAGCTGGTGAATGACCTGAGCGTTGAGACTGCCGCTGTTGTCCATGTCACCCACCAATACAAGGAACGCCTCTGTGGGACTCAGCTGCTTTGTCCCCACATACGTGACCCCGAAGTGGTAGCTGGACTCCCTGATTGTGCTGAGGGCTACTGTGTGGTTCACCTGGAAATGGTTACTCAACCCTTTGTTGACTATGAGCTTGACACCCTCCATCTGAATGGGAAACAGCTCCTTGCACTTCCGGTGGCACTCCCCGAATGTGCCCGGGTTGGGCAGGCAGCCGCAGGCCCCATCCTCGGCGGCCCCTGAGGCGCTGGCAGTTGCAGCCCCGGGGGTCAGTTCCGAACCTCGACTCGTACTGGTGCCGGCGCCCAGGCCGCCTCCCAGCGGCGGCAGCGTGAAGCCCGGCGGCGAGGGCGGAGGTGGCGGCAGCTCCACGAGGGCCGGCGCAGGCGGCGGTGGCGGCCCTGCGGGCGGCGACCTGGCGGCCAACACGTTCCCCATGGTCTCTGGCAGAGGCGCCTGCTCCCGGCCTGGGCTCCGCTCCCACCCCGTGCGTCACGCGCAACCGAACCCGCTGCCGCCGCCGCCACCACCGTCGCCAGCATGGTGTATCTTTTGGACATGTCCATTTTGGAAGAAACTTTTGTGTTAAAATAAACTAATATATTATGGGCTAGAACATAAAATTCACCAAGAATTTCAAGATAAAAATACTAATGTTTTGCTTGTTTGGGTTATTTCAAACAATAGCTTTGAAATCTATAATTGTTTCACCACCAACCCTTTCTTTACCTCCTTGCATGCTCATTCTCCTGTGTGGCTAGATGCATTTCAGAAAAGTGTTTTGAATATTATTCCAGAGCAAGGATCATTCCAGAAAATAAGTTTAAAGTTTGAAATGTTTATTTTTTGTAAGCCATGAATCTTCAGCTTAAGTATCTTCTGACATAAAAGCATTTTCATAATTATAAAAGTTCTGATATTACTCTCCACAGTATTATATCTGATCCTGCAAAGTAGTTCAGATACCAGAGAATACTCTTAAACATTTTGACTTATGCATTTAATTATTTTTAAAATTTATGGAACAAGACATTAAATGAGAAAGAATGGAATGAAAAATGGGTTAAAAGAATGCAAAATTGCAAAAAGAATGCTTTGAATTTAAATATTTCCAAAAATTTGATTTTCTGAGAAAATATATTAAAAATCATATCTAATTACCTTCAGGGTGGCATATATCTTTTTTTATAATGACTTAGCACCCCTGTATTGGGGACTGATGGCTAACTTGGTGAAAAATGAGATTCAGACATCTATTTCTTAAAATATCTTTTTAATACAGATATATTAATAGTAGCATTTCTATAAATTCTAGAGTTACTTAATAGGAATTTATTAATATAGACTTATGTGTACACGTTTTATAGAACATCATATGATCCTTCAATTCTTATATCTGAGTTTAAGCTCTTAATTTTTTTTTTTTTTTTGTAAATTTCCTGCTACTCTATGGAGTGCAGTTTAGAGAATGAGCCAAAATTACATGCATAGTCGTTTACTGGTACATAATTCATCAGCACTGAAATGTAAAAGTGACAGTGAGGGTGATTGTACCATAGAAGTTCATATTTTGACATTGCTATTATATAAAGCTTCTTAATTCTCCTATCTTTTTCTCAGTAATAATATTAATAACACAAAATTTTTCACTTTTTGTAATTTCTAGTATTTCCCTTCAAAAGAGCTTGATGATGGAAGGATATGAGAAAAGAGAATAAATGTCAGAAAAATACCTCTGTCTTGCTTTTTAACAGAGAAATTAAACTTTAAATATTATACTGAGGAAGAACTAGTAGCCACCAAAACACTACTAACTGTTCACATCTGAATGTATTGTATGTTAAGTTCAATGGGGTACTTTTTATTTAATAATGTAGTAAAAGTGTCACTAGAAGGTGGCTAAATTAAACATTTATAGCAAATTGATAAGAAAAATTATATTGTTTGATAATAAAATGTTATTTATATTGTATGATAATAAAACTGCCTGAACTAGTTGCTTACACACTAAAATCTGAAACGTTAGTATAGGGTTTAACTCATCTGAAATAGTGTGTGTGTGCACGCACGTGTATGTGCGTGTGTATGTGTATTTTTTTTCATGGCAAGCACTTAGAATTCTTTGACTACTTTGAGATTATTTATTGGCCATCTACAGAGTATTTTCTATATCTTCAGCCATTATGTTTGGAGTAGATTACATTCCTTACTCTTGAAGAACTCTGATGGCTAGACATGCAAATACAGCTTGTTTTATAAATGATACTGTAGATTTAGGTACTCAAAACTATGGGGACACAATTGAAAAGAGAAACCAAGCTAGGTTGAAGTCCAGAAAAGCTTCACAGATGAGGAACATATTAGTCTGCTATTAAAGAATAATTGAGATTTTGTTGGAAGGAAGAATGATTTGGATAGAAGCAACGTGATGTATAGGAAGAGGAACTGTAAAAGAACAAGTGGAATAGCCGGTATATTTAGATGTACTTTGGAATGTGGGGTTGGGTACTAGAGGAGGATAAAATCAAAAGGGTTTGTTGGAGCCATAGCATGTGGGAAGTCTTGTATAACCTGAAGAAATTAAAATTTTATTCTGAATGCAGAAGATTTTTGACATGGAAGGTCCGTGTTGTATTTGAGAAAGGCCATTATCAGCAATATGAAGGATCTGTTTGGGGAACAGATTAATTTTAAAGTCATAATGGGTAATTATTTTTTATGTAGAATTTGGATAAAGTCTAGGAAAATAAATAAATCCATTCAGATGTTTCTTGAAGTCAGGTGAAATAATCAGCTACTTTCTCATTTATTCCTTAGAATGGCTACATTTTATTTGATTGCTATTTTCAAGGGAGTCCTATATTATTCCTTTTCTGCTTATGAATGGATCTGAATCCTTTTTGGTTATAAATATCAGTGGTTATGTTTCTGAGTAATAAATGTCATGCTTTGCCTTTCTTGGTTTCAATGTTGTTAGCATTATGAACATTATCTCTTAATGCTTGCATTTCTTCAATATTGATTCCATTAACTTTCTCTAGCTCTGTCATTTTTGGCTTTAAATATTCAATCTCCTTTAACCAAATGGATTACTACTGAAAACCACTAGAATTAGTTGATCAACTTAACGATGTGTTGATCTGTAAGGATTGAAACCTCGGTAATTTTAGTATGCCAGTAATGCACAGTACAGCATACTTACCAATAAGAACATCAAACATTCATTGATTGCCATTGTATGTGCTAGGCATTGTAAGTGTTTATATATATGAACTCATTTAATACTTGCAATACTCTGAAATAAGACTGCCTGTGTTCAAGTTCTGGCTTCACCACCTACTATTCACCTTGTACTTTTGGTGTCTTCAACTATAAAATGAGGATAGGAATAGTGCCTATCCCATAGGATTTAATGAGAGAATCATATTTAAAGCCCTTTTATAATGGCTGGGTCAGAAATGTGAGCACAGAAATATGTGAGCTATTACTATCTTTTAAGCTCTATTATAAAATATGATATATGGATAATATGAGAGCAAGTTTTAAATAAGCATCTGAACTTCCAAACATAAATGGGGTTGAACTTCAAAGTGGTCATTTTGGGAGATTATACATTAATTTCAGTGGTACCTTCATTTTTCAATGACTACACATTTTTCTACCTCATGATTAAATTTACAGCTAAGGGGAATGCTCCTGTAGAAGAAAACAACTATATTTCATAGTTACATATTTTTAATTTTTTAAACTAAAAATGTACTGCTTTGCTTGATCAACTGCATTATTTATCAAACTTGGCTATGAACAAGTTTTTTTTCCTTTTTCTTTTTAATTTGTATGCTATTTTCAAAGGTACACCGGAATTAGAGAGCAGGTTGTTATTTAAAATGTGAACTTTGTATAAATGTGTTCTGTATTTGCTGATTGCAAATGGTCCTTAAAAGTAGATAAAGTCTACTTGGTGGTAGGCTTTTGTTGGCAATTAATTTGTTTTTATGTATTTCTGAGATTTTAGATTGAAATACTGAAAGCTTCCATAGTCTTTTATTTCCTAGTTTAAATTTCTTATATTTACTTATAACCAAACCTTTTATATTTTTGTTTAGTTTTTGTTTGACACATATTAAACTCCTTCTACCATATAGGGAAATAACTTTTATTTTTATAGGAATGTTTAACAGCCATTAGGTGTTTAGTTCTTTTTATCAGAGGATATTATACTATTCTCAGTTGTCTTTACAGTTTTCATGCTAGCAAAGGAGTTGGTTACTCTGCTCATTTTGTTGGCAACTGTTTTATAGTCACATCATTGAAGTCCAAAGGAAAATGTTTTCAGCATTGTGTGAAATATGATTTTCAACCACGTAAGGCAGGTAAAAGTAAATATTTTTGTAACTCACTTGTTACGACAGAATTCTTAACTATCCTTTTATGACCTCTGTAGTATTCTCTTTCACTGGCTTTCCTATGCTTTTAATGATTTTCTCTTATCCTAGTTTGCATTTTCTTTTTACTTTTATGTCTGATTTTTGTCTTCTATAAGATCAGTGCTTTGATCTCTTGTGGTGTATTTCTCTTACATTCTCTCGTCTCAGTCTGATCTGTTCTATGGCATTCTTTCAATAGATACTTATTATTTACTGAGTATTGGACACCATTGTAGGCACTAGGGAGTTATAAATCTTTGCCTCTTTTTTAAAAAAGTTAAATGTTAAACCCCCAGATTAAGCAATGCACAGATACTTTTCTTGTGGGAGATTCACCTAATCCTGGTAGTTCTGAATCTTGTTTCCTAAGATTGGAGGTTTTGTTAATTTCTGATGCTTTAGTAATGCTGGCTTCAAGGAATGGAATGTTGCTGTACTGTTAGTTTTGGCTCATGAAATGTGTCTTTACTTAATATCCCAAATAATAGCAAAAACAAGGTCAAAACACATTTTAAAAACTGCTGTAAAGAGAAAATGCAGAGAAATGTGCAACTGTATAATTAGAATTATAAGAGATAATTCATTCATAATCAGGTGGCATTTTCTAGAGAGATTTTCCTGCCTGTGTACCGGACTCCATCTTTGTGTCAGAGTAACAAGCCAACTGAAAGTCGAGATGAAAGAAAACAAGGACAGAGTGCGTAGGAGTTCCCGTCACACACGTTTAAGGCTTTTTTCCCCTTCCAGGTTCAGGGTTCTTTCTTGGGTATATGACAATGAGATTGTCAATGCTTTTTAGGGCACACTGCCTCCTCCTAACAGAAATATCACCTTACCCTTTGTGATTAATGGTACAATCATAATAGATATGATGAATCCAAATGTGGTGAGGGGGAGGTCTTTATATCTTTTTCATATCTTTTTTGTTTTCTTGTTGCTTATGATCTGATGTGTGTCTTGTCATATACAGAAAAAAAATATTTTGGGTGGTATTTTCAAAAATTTGTTTAGATTTTGCATGATTCTAATGAAAATATTTGTTTTATATTTAATGTCAGTAATTGTAGTTTCTATTAAAGAATATCAATTTAACAATAATTCATCAATATATACTTAGAAAATAGCTTAAAAAGCAGTGACCTGAATAAATATATTCATTCATTATAATGGTGTATTCTTTCTTTTTTAATGCAAATTGATTACTTTAATACCAATCACATTGCCTTTGCTCTGGAAATTCTGTTTTACTAAAACTAAGATGAGACCAAGATAGTTTGCTAAAATTGCCAAATTATTTTGAATTTCAGTGGAATTGATTAGAAGTACAGATTGTTGGTATTATAATTTTTCATGTTAGGATTGTGTGTTTTTAACAAATATTTAGGTAACTTTCTCATCAGACAGTTTTAGGAAACAGTGGTTTAAAGAATATACATGCAAACAATTAGGGTGAAGTTATAACCAAATGAAATTGTCATTAACCAATAAAAAGCGCTTTAACCCATTTGTTTTCACTTTTTCTATTTTGTGTTTTCTTCACTGTTTACTTGTGGAAAACACATTCTCCTTTGTAAAGCTCTCAATATGCAATGATTCTAAGGGGTCTAGTTAGCAGCAGGGCCAGAGAATGATGTGGATTTTAAAAAGTCTTCTGTGAAGATTCTCACAAACCTGGAAAAGTCATAAGTATTTGCTTTTATTGTGCTTCATTATTCAAAATAAATTTATTCTCTTATTTCTTCCTTTCTTTAATTTCCCACAGATGCCCTAGCTAAGTTGTTGTTATCCTTCCTAATAAGAGATTTACTGGCCTTTCAAAAAGAAATCTTTACATTAAAACTTTTGCTTTCCCAGCTGCACCACTTACCAGCTGTTAGAACTTGTGAAAATGGATATAAACCATTAGCATGTTATCTAATGGTAATATGTGCTCTAGACATATTAGCTACTATTGATATCATCTGTACTTTTTTATCTTCAATTTATTTCCATATCTTCAATTTGTAATATATATCTTGTGGATTCTTAATATGGAACTTTATTTTTTTCTTATTTCTGGTTGTGTCCTTCTTTTATAAATTTCTTTTTGAGTCTCAAACTAAATGCAGACTTCACTATATATACATAATATCACTATGCACAGGTAGTTTCCAAGTTTATTTTTATTTTCTTTAGTCAATGTATATCAGGTCAAAAGTTAGGCTTTTTTTTAACCATTGAAAAACTCACTTGTGTCTGTTATCTGTAGAGTACAGTTTGATGTATCAAGGAAAGAGAAAAGTTACTTTTCTTATAAATAAGTACTATGGTCTTAACTGAGATCAGTTCATTAATTCATCAGTGCATTCATTTAATTTTATCATATATTATTGTTACAACCAAAAGCAAACCTTGATAAACTCCAAATCTGATTAATTTTTCTGTATTAATGATCTTAAGTTAATGGTACCCTTACCCATCTAAGTGAAAATTGGAATCCATCTTAGACTCCCCTGTTATATGTTAACACTTCCTATCATTTCTGTTAGTTAATTCCCATCCTCATTTTAAAATTACTAATGCCTTTTTCTTAGTTCAGCAGCTTATGGTGTCTTACCCAAACCTTTGCAGTGGTTTTTCAGTTTTATCTTTGTCCACACTTGCCTACCTATCTCACCTCCAAATTGCTGCCAGCTATTTTCCTTAACTATGAAGCTGATCGTTTAACTTTCCTGCTCAAAATTATTTAGTTATACCACGTTATGCAAAAAAACAAAGGCCAGTTTCCTAAAGGTCTGTTTACAATCTGGTCTTCGCCTGTTTTTTTTTTTTTTTTTTTTTTTTTTTTTCCTGCTAAACCTACACACTGAAGAAAGTTTTGTCAAGCATCTGTGCTGTATCATATTAAGATTCCACCTGGAATGTTTTTTTACCCCTGTCTACTGAACAATTCCTTTTCATCCTTCAAGCATAGTCTTATGGTTCATTTTATTCTTTTAGTGAATACTTCTATGATAGTCTTTCTTCTCTATTTGTCTTTCTTTCCCTGTTACTTATAGTAATTACTTTTATTACTCTCAAATCTGTATTTTAGATATTCTCTATTGTTCTCATAACTGTTTCTCTAGTGAAACTTCCTTGAGTGTGTATATGTTGTCTGTCTTTATATATCCATGATCCAAGGTTGGGACAGGGTACTTGGCATAAAGTAGGCTCTTAGTACATTTTTTGAATGAATGAAATACTCTGAAAGGTAAATAATAATCAATTTTAGCATAAATGAACCTCATCATGAGGACATAGTAGATAAAATCATAATAGTAGTTTAGTTAATGGTGTGTTATTTATGGGTGCTGAATACATTGGGAACTTTTCTTCGTAGTTTTCATGTATTATCTGTTTATAATATTCACAAGGAATCCACAAAGTAGGCATTATTATTCCCCTTTTTCAGGGAGATGAAAATAGATTCGGAGATGCTAAGTAATTTGCCAAAAGCCATAGAGCTAGTAATTTGGGAACCCAATTCATGTCTTTAGGAAGTAAAATTTATCCTGCCCAGTACATTAAGTTATCTGAAGTAGTAAGAACTCAGTAAGTATTATTTGAATGAGTACTTTTTTTATCGTAAGTACACCAATAAGTATAATAATATATCTAGTATTTATCTTAAAATTGTCTTTGGGCAGGAAATCTTTGCCTATATATAGGTATTTATTTGTGTCTCTTCTCTTTAGAAATGTAAAGTTATTACACATTTTATTCCAGAATATAAAGATTGTGTCTTCTGTGTTATGTAGATAGCATTCTTGTTGGATAGTTTCAAACTCAGTGAAGGTAATATGTGCAAACTAATTCTTATACATGTAAAATTCTGTAAGATTTTCCTTAAATTTATTTGAAGCTCTTTTTTATGGTTTCTTCTTGATAATTTTGTAATATTTAGAAACAATGGTTAAATGACTACTTTAAAGATTTTCTCTTCTAATTTTAATCAGGGCTAACATATATGTCAGTTTCGAATCAAGTGAAAGACTTAGTTTGCAATAAATTAATGATTTCCTGGAATGAAAAACCTTAAAAAGGATGTGCATTTTAGACAGTTAAATGTCTTGACCTTTACACTGTTGTTTTGTATTACTGACTTTTTTGAGTTCTTTAACACACTATTTTTTTTCTTTTTCTTTTTCTTTCTGTTTTTTTTTGTTTTTTGTTTTTTGTTTTTTTTTTTTTTTGAGACAGAGTCTTGCTCTGTTGCCCAGGCTGGAGTGCAGTGGTGCAATCTTGGCTCACTGCAACCTCTGCCTCCCAGGTTCAAGGGATTCTTGTGCCTCAGCCTCCCGAGTAGCTGGGATTACAGGCAGATGCCACCACGCCTGGCTAATTTTTGTATTTTTAGTAGAGACGGGATTTCACCATGTTGGCCAGGCTGGTCTCAAACTTCTGACGTCAGTTGATCTGCGCACCTTGGCCTCCCAAAGTGCTGGGATTACAGGCATGAGCCACCGTGCCCTGCCTATTTTTATTTTCTAAATTGAAATGAAAAAAATTGAATTTTGCTCAAAGTATTTTAGATACCTTGAAATGACTAATATTTTAGTGATTAAGGATTATTATAACTTTTTATTTCTCAAAATATATATGAAATAATTGAATAGTGCATTGAAGTAATCTGTAGAACAAAGTTTGTGTTTTATATTTTGGTAGGAGGGAGAAACCAGTTAATTTTCCCCCCTTAACTTCAGAAAGCATACTTGTTCAAATGTTTATAAATCATTTGTATTTTTCTATACTTTAGAAAAAAATATTTCTATATTCTCTATTTTAGGATATTAACTCTCAAGAGACTAAAGGTTGTTTCAGAAATCAAACCATCCATATTAAAATAGATACTTAAAATGCTATTTGATAGCAGTAACTATAAAATGGGCACTTAATATGAACTCATTTATTGATTCTTAATAAACACACATTATTAAGTTATTAAATATATAATTATCACTGGATTTACTAAATCTTAATTGTGAGATTGAAACTACCTAAATCATATTATAAATGCTAAGATGTTGTTTCTTTGACAGATCTTTTCCTGACCATGTAATCCAAAGTAGAATCCTACTTTATTCTTTTTCAGTTTATACTGTTCTTTTTCTCTTCACTGTAATCACCATGATTTATAATTCTACATTTGTTTAATTGTGTCATATATATTTCTTTTATAGCTCATAACTTCTAGGAGAACTGGTTAGCCTTGGGTATCTGCAGTGCCTGGCACAATGTAAATTTTAAATGAATGAACACAAATGAATTGTATTTCCACAATTTTGAATCTTGGTATAGTGGAAAGAATATTACTCTGGAGGTCAAGGGGCTGTAGTTCTTGTCTTCTCCATGAATATTCTTTATGTGCCACTTCTACCATCTGTGAAATGAGGGATGGGAGGGGGAACTTGAGGAAGTGGTATTAGATGATCATTAATAGTCCTGTCAGCATATTATTGTAGGGTTTTATGAATATTATAATTGCATTTTAGACCATAATAACCAAACATTACATATTGATATATTTAATTTTTTTATTTAAGTGGTACATGATCAGCATTGTCCACATTTACAATCGATGGAGAAACAGTGAAATTCAGTGTTATGTTAATGGACAACTGGTATCTTATGGTGATATGGCTTGGCATGTTAACACAAATGACGTAAGTCTTTATTTTTCTCTCTGTGTTTTAATTTGTTTGAGAGTATGATCTATCATTACAAAATGAATTGAATAATAAAATAGTTTGGTAGAAACTTAAAACTTTGGAAGTTTATTCTTTTTATTAAACAAATCTTTCACTGTTAAATTTAATATAAGAAAATTGCTAAAAGACATGATTAGGGATGCAAAAACAGGAACATTTGGCCAAAGTTTTAAGTTTTTTAGATAAAAAACCGCGAATCCTGTATTCTATTTATTCCAGCATCAAGCACTAAAAAATGTGGTTTACCCCTTATTTAGATATAGAAAGAAGACCCTAAACAGAAGTGTAACATATAGTCACTATTATTAATTACATAGTGATAAATGCTATGGAGAAAATAAATTGGGGATACAGAAAGTGTAGTTGTAGGGAAGGGGGGAGCCGGATGGTCCAGAGATGATTTTAGTAGGAAGAGGTGAACAAGCAAGGTATGTGGGGAACTTCTTCTATCCAGTGGGAACAGTGAGTGTAAAGGCTTTGAGGCAGAATAGGAAAGTTCAAGGAAAAGGCAATTTGTCTGGAGCAGAGGTAGGTAGAAGCAGAATAATATTAAGAGATAAGGTTAGGCAGAAATCATTTTGGCCTTCATAAGCAAACATAAGGCCTGGGCTTTTGCATCTTACTCAGCTTAAAAATCCTTGGAAGGTTTTCAGCAGACAAGTGATGTGTGCTTATATTTTAAAAGCATCAGTCTGCCTGCAGTATTGACAATATTTTGAAGGGAAATTACAGAAGCAGGAAAATCACTTAAATGGCTTATTGCAATAAAACAAAGAGATTATATTAGTTTCTACCAGTATGTTAGCAGTGGAAGAAGTGACACAGTTGGATTCTAGATAGTGAAAAACTCGAATTAAAACCTCAAGTGTCCTTACGGTTTCTCTACTTTGGGCTTTCCATTGTCTACATTCTGGCCTGTCAGAGCCAAAGTAAAAGGTTTGTTTTAATGCTGAAAGTACCTGCAAGCTCAATAATATACAACCCTTCACGCTTACCTGGTTTTATAAGAACTTACCTCTTAAATACAATTCATTTTTCAGTTTTGTTTGCATGTCTATAGGCTTTAATCTCCCAAAGGGCAGGGATTTGCTTATCCTGTCTTGTATTCTTTTAACTAGCACTGTGTGTATGGTCCATAGGTTGTCCCCTAGATCGGGGCTTGGCAGACTACACCCTATGAACCAAATCTGACCCTCCCCCTGTTTCTGGTTTCGTGTAAGCTGGGGGCAAAGACTCTTGGCTTTTAATTTTTAAAGGTTTTTTGTTTGTTTGTTTTTTTCTTGAGATACAAACAAAATCAAAGAAGAATGGGACAGCAACCAGGTGTGGCAAGCAAAGTTTAAAATACTTTCTGTCTGTCCCTTTGTAGAAAAAGTTGCTTTTCCCTGCCATAGAAACTCATGGTTGTGCCACAACCAATTAATATTTAATGGAATGTTGTTTTCAGAATTAGAATACACAGATGAAATTCTGCTTTTTATCTTCTCTCCAGAGGAGATCTTCTCTCCAGAGTCTTTTTATTATAGAGTGGAAGAAATCCCAGTGGTCTTCTTGACTCATTCAATGATAAGACAGTATCTTGGAAAGAAAATACTTAGTTTTTTGGTTATTTATAATAGTGCCCTAAGAAGTGGAGAATTCTAGATAATAACACATATATACATACTTTATGCAGTTAAAGTTTAAGTTCCTATACTTCTAATTAAAGATTGGGTATTTAATGATGACAGTTCTTTTTGCCTTTGTACGCATTCACAATTTTTTTTGTTACTTTATTGAAGTACCAAAAGTACTTCTTACATATATAATTCTTGCTTATTCATTCTAAGGTGTGAAATAGCCTTTGGGGATAGGGGAAGGGAACTGAGCCATGACTGCTTTCCCTGGTTTGGGTGAGTGGGGTGTAAGAAGTAGAGGCTGGAAAGATCTTGTTAAGCTTTTGGCTTCTTCAGTGCTGAATTCCTCAATGTGGAGGGCACTGTACCATCTGCTTTAAGCAGCAGATTTTAGTCTTATTGTTTATTTGATTCTGTGTAGTTCCTACTCATATATGAGAGGGGATTTATTTTCTTTGTGTCTTTTACTAAATACGGAGGAATAGAGGAATAGATTCATAATTTCAAAAATAAAGGAGAATAAAAAAATTAGACCCTATGTGTTCACTACATTTTGGAATAGTCATTCCCTTGATTCAGATCAATCTCTCTATATATGGATAATTATACATCATTACAGTTTTAAATTATTTTAATGTTTGTAAATAATTATAAGCTATTTTGTCTTTAACTATAATATTTGAAAAGTGTTAAGTCAGAAGATTGAGTAGATGGCTACTGTTTGCTTAAACATAAGTGTAAAAAATGTAATTGATCATTTTTCCCAAAAAAACTTGGCTGGCATTTATTATTTAAATAATAAAGTCTTCATTGATGCTCTCCTCTATTATTATTGTTATATTTTAAAATATTCATAAAGGTTGATTTAAGGATTTAAACCTTTTCATCATTAAAAATGATGCTTTTTTAATGACTTTTATAAATAGAGCTATGACAAGTGCTTTCTTGGATCATCAGAAACTGCTGATGCAAATAGGGTATTCTGTGGTCAACTTGGTGCCGTGTATGTGTTCAGTGAAGCACTCAACCCAGCACAGATATTTGCAATTCATCAGTTAGGACCTAGATATAAGGTAGTAATAACTATAATTTTATAAATTCTATGGAGCATTTCAGATGTAAAATGTGATGTAATATAATTTTTAGTGAAAATCTTTCTTTAATACAGTTTAAGAGTCATTTCTATTTTTTGGATTGTAGTCAGTTTTTATTATGTGTTTCTTTTTGGTTCAAAGATGCTTTTTTCTCAACTGTTTTCTCTTTATAAACTTTTTTATTCTTCAGAATATTTTCTAATATTGATAGCATGCCTTTTGTTAACAGTTCTGAAATAATAAATCTTATAAAACTATTTTGCTTAATGTAGTATTTATAATACAAAAATTTGAAATATATATATTACATAGTAAACATAATAAAGAACTTGTTAATATTACTGGTAACTTGGAAAGAAGAGTTAAAGATTTAGAAGGAATCTAAGATAATATACTTCATGGGCCTAAAATTATTTAATTTTAGTTTATATTTTTGCTTTAATTGCAGTGAGGAAGTAGGTACAGTAGTGAGTAAACTAATTTAGCAAAACTAATTATTTAATGTAATTTATAATATTCTTTCTGTTTTTTAAACTTTAAGAACAAAGACTCTAGGTAAGATATAGCATGCACATATATGAGTTAGTTTTAAATGTGCAGTACACCTGGATAGGGGAATATATAAAGGTTCTGTCTAAATCACATTGGGAATTGTGAAGTCTCAAACTACTTGGAGCTGAAAGAGAATTACACATTATAGTCAAAGTGTTTATAATTCTGAAGGAGTACTTGTCTTGTATGGAAGTGTGGTTTATTTATTGAACTCAATTTAAATAATTAATGTGAAGATTGTGTTATGGAAAGGAAAAATATTTTTAAAAATTCCCTCTTTGGCCTTTGTATTTTTGCATTGGTATTTCTCTTTTTGTTTTTATGTCATACACACACACACACACACACACACACACACACACACATATATAGAGAGAGAGTGAGAGAGAGAGAGAGAGAGAGAGAGAGAGAGGAAAGTTTGAATTTACCCATATTAAAAGATCTTTTTTTCTCAGTGACTTTAATAACCATAATAATATTGAAGAATAATAATGCTATTATTTTTATGTCAAGGTAACAATACTTGCTATCATATATTTTCCATATCATTTTTGTTTTTGTCTTACTAGCTCTAGAAATGAATTTGTGCTTGTCCAGCTATTTCTTCTTTCATGGGTCTTTGTGTTGGGTTTGCATCCTGGTTCTTCCATTGTTGATCTTGCATAGGAATATTTTTGTAATTCACATTTTTTATTAATATGCTGCTTGCTTTTCTTTCCTACTTCTTTGAGTTGTTTCATAAAATACTTGCAGTGTCTTTTTAAGCTCTAATAGAATGATATTAAATAGAGTGACAAGCAAACAAATAAAATATAAAAAGGTAGAATATCAAGAAAATACAAATCCGATATGATTGCTAATGTGAAATATCAGAATTGATGGGAGCTTCCTGGCAACATCAAGGAAAAAGGCTGAATATAAGCGATTTTGTAATTCTATTCACAAAGAAGCAAACTTTGTCCTGAACAGCTTTGCAAACTCTGTAGTTTGTAGTATTCTTTTCACACGCCTTTCTCGTCATTCTTTTTAACAACAGTGATAATGAGCAGTAACCTGGTCATCATGTGTGCACAGCTCATGTGACGTAGAGTATTCTTAGTATCCTAACACACAATAGAGTACCTAAAGCCAGAACTTTTAAGAGATATACCTGTAAGTTTGGGCATTACATCAGATAGTATTTTATTAAGTTTTGAAAGTTCTCAGCTTACTGCACCCTTGTTGTTAGTGGGGGTTGATCATAAATCCACAGGTACATGCATTTTCTCAATTTGTAAATTTTTTTTTGAATGTATATAATTTTTATTTGTTAACTATATCTCAACAAAGTTGGAAAAAATGAAAGAGAAGTGAAGGAGCAGGAAGAGCAAGATGGAGAGGGAGAAAATCCAATAAAGAGTCCACAATGTAGGTTGCAGCTGTGAGGATGCCTCTCAGAGCTGAAGGGAAAAAAAAGCACACACACACCAGCTGCCATCCGCCACTGCCTGAGAGCTGTCCCTAGGAGTATTAATTAACTCCCTTGTGTTTCTTCTTAGCTGTGCCTGCCTCTATCTGGGGCTGAAAAGGGCTTCTGTTTCTTACCAAAAAAAAAAAAAAAAAAAGAAGAAGAAAGAAAGAAAAAATCCTAAGGCCGAAAAACAGAGAGAGGAACAGAGGGTGATTGAGGTGGGGTACAGGCGGCATGCACACAGATTCTTCACCACAGCATAGTTAAAGTCAGAAGTGGGCCCAGGAGAAGAATGGAGGACATGGAAAGCATTTGCATTGGTTCACCTTCACATGGCTTGGATCTACAGAGGCTACCTGATAAACTTTGTCACCTATTCAAAGAGGTGGCCAGCATAATCCCTAACAAACACACAGTAAGTAGTAGGACAAGCAAACATCCCACTGCACAGCTAGTACCAAGGTCAACACTAGACTTTGTCCTCTCCCCCTTCACTCCCCGCTTTCTTCCCTCAGCCAGACCTTTAGCTGCTCTGGGAGCTTGCCAGATTAGATGACCCTGCCTTTCACCTCTTAGGGTCTGAGTACCTTTGGTGGCTCTGGTTAGTTGCTGCAGTTGCATGTTGACTATTGTCACTGATGATGGGAGCACCAAGAGGTGATCCCACTGAACACAAGTTCTAGATTATGCCTCCCTGTCCCTGCTCCCTGTAACACCATCTCTAGCTACTCATGATGATTGTGGTTATTTCTCCTGGCTACTCACTCCTTTCTTTGAGGGTTGCCCTACCAGCATGAGGATCCCAAAGTGACCAGAGTTGTAATTGTATCTTCAGGTTGGTTGATTGCTTACCCTGTCCTTGGAATCTGAGACCTCTGATCCAGCAAAACCTAAAATAGTGGAGCTGGGACTCGTAAATTCTGCAAGTGGATTACTAAGAGTTTTAATAAAGGACACCAATTGTATTTCCACTCTTTGTTCCCAGACCCATGTTGTTGGCTATTAGAGACCAGCTATAGGAGACCACATAATGTTATTGAATATTTACTGTGTATAGACTATTTTGGAGAACAGAGCTACCTTTGTAAGTGTATCATCCTGAACTGGTTTTTTAGCTGAGCCTTTAATAAGTCACTTAATATAGATTATGGTAGAAAAAATGAGTCCCACAGTCACATGCCCTCTGTCACACTTCTACTGCTGAATAAAATGAGTCCCTGAGTCCGAGATGATGTTATTCAGGATCCCATGTCAGTAAAAGTAGATAAATTTGTAAATATTATAAGTACAATTGCACCATGACAGGCATCAGCAAAATTTTTTTATATTAAAAAGCTTTTTTTTTTTTTTTTTAGAAATTCAGAGAGCATAGAGAAGGAGGAATGCAAATGATCGGGTTGTGTTTTGACAGAAAAGCTGAGTAGTTCACACATTATAGTTACAATTATCTTGGTAAAGTCACTCTCTGTGAGAGAAGGGGTAGAGGGCTACAGTGGAATTTTTAAGGTGTAGAGAATATAATAACTAATGGACATTTGGATAAATCACAAATGGAGATTACTTAGTGTTGTATAATAACATAGTATTTATATTTATTGCCTTAAGTTATATGGAACTTTCTTTCATTGTAATGGTCAGACAAAATTTATGATTCTGAGTTTAGTGTAGGTAGCATGTCAACATATGGGCTTCAAAGTTAATAAAATAAGTTAATTCTACCTTCAAATAATGTCATCAAACTATATATTCAATAGAACCTGTCACAAATGATTTTGACTTGTTGGTCACTGTAGTGCTAGGTAAATTTTTTTCTGTTGAATATTTGGATTTGAGCATTGCAGCTTATCAGTAAGTATTCTGTACTTGGTTATTTTCTGGAAATGGTAAATAAGTTAGGGTATCACTTATTAACTAAATAAACCATTCAGTTTGGAAAATACAGAAATACAGAAAATATTTAAAATACAGAAAATCTCACTGTAGATTTGTCTAGTATAGTAAAATTTACTACCACATAAGTTTACTGTGGATCTCTATTTGGGGTTATTTAATGTCTTCAAGATTCTGTATGAGGTGGCCCTTTGACATAAGCTTCAAATCAGATTTTAACAAAGGTTTTATATTTTATAATTATTACTAGACATTTTCTCATTGTTTTGTTAATCCCGTGTAGCAAGCAGTTAGTCTTCATGGCCAGATATTTGAAAATTTAGTTTTGAGTTCTCTCTTTCATTTATGAATATGATAGCATAATGGTTTTTATAATTTGCTATATCATAATAAAGTTCTAACTGATAAGAGAAAAAGTATAACACAACCTCCAAAATTAAAAATCACTTCAGAGGACTTCCAGTACTTGTGTGGAGGGGTGAACTCCTAACAAACTGATCTTCTCACAAATAACCATTTGTAAACTCTGCACATAATATAGATAATATCTATCTGAGGGTTGTGGAGATTGAATAAAAGCAGGCAAGCTTCGGAGGGTAGTCAAAATATGGAACAGTCTGTCTACATGGACTGATATCCCCATTTTTTGCTTTTATAGGAAACTTTCTGGCTAGAAAGTTTCTCTATAATATTGTACAGAGTAATAGTCACACTATTTAGCATATAATCCAAAAGTACTTATTCTAAAAATGGTCAGAAAAAATGTGACTTATTCTCAAGGGAAGAGTAAATCCTCATATACCAACTCTAAGATAACCCACATGTTGGAAATATCACATGAGGTCTTATTGTAACTAGCGAGGTAGAGAAAAGTTTACTTATAATGAATTAAAAGATAGGAAGTATCAGCCATGAAATAAAACAAAATCAGATGGCAATTCTAGAACTGAAAAATATATCAGAATTAAAAATAAGCTGTATGGGCTTATTAGCAGAATTAATATTATAGAGAAGTAAATGAACTTGAATATAGATTGACAGAAAATCTGAAGAGAGTTATGAAAGATTGGGGTGAAAAAATAGAACCCTAGAGATGTATGGGGGCAGTTTTGAAAGGTCTAATAGGCACAGTATAAGAGAAAGAGCCAGAAAAAATATTTGAATAAATGATGATAGAAAACTTCTCAGATTTGATAAAAGGATTATGTTTATAGATTGAAGAAACTCTGAAAACTCCAACCAAAATAAATGCAAAGAGAACCAAAGTAGGCACATTACAGTCAAAGTGTGGAAAAACAAAGATAAAGAGAAAACCTTGAAAGCAGGCAGAGGAAAACTAGATACTGATAAGGGAACAATAATTTGAATTTCTGTACACATCTCATCAGAAAGCAGGGAAGCCATAGAGGTGGAACAAAATCTTTAAAGTTCTGAAAGAAAGAAAAAAAATCTGTCAACCTAGAATTTTTTATCCAGTGAAAATATTCTTTGAGTCTTTTGAAAGAAAATTTAAAAAATTTGTTGTTATTTGACTCTCATTACTGACTGAAGAAGCAAACCTGGATGATTCAGAGTATATAAATGTAATACATATGATAACTAGCAGAAAGATTTGGAGAGAGGCTATAAATGCACCTATGTAGTTGAAAAGTTACGTATTTTGCAATGTGTCTTGATAGAATGATGTTGACTACAATTCAATGGCTAAAACAAAATTATCAAAGTCAAAATTGCATGTCTTTTCTTGAATGATAGGTATGTATCCAGTATTTCATTTACCCACAGCATATGCTGTAGACCCCTCTTTCAAATTAAAGATAACAAAAGCCCAATTGAATGGAAAAACAAAATAAATCAATGCTAACTAAATACAAATAATTAGCCTTCACTAATTCATCCATTCATTCTTTTATTAAACAGTTGGGCACTGTTCTAGATGCTAGGGATATAACAATTAAACAAAACCAACAAAAACCCCATGCCTGTATCTTGGAGAAGTAGGGTGTGCAGTATCATGGGAGAAGACATAACAAAACAAAAGAAAAATATATAGTGTCTATATGGTGATAAGAGCTGTGAGACACACAAAGCAGGTAAGATGGAAGTTGAGGCTAGTCAAGTGGATATCCGGTTAAGAGCTTTAAGGGTAAATGCCAGAGCAAGCATGAAGGCCATTAGCAGAAGCTTACTTCACAGATTAAAGAACACTGTGACTATGTTTTGCTGTGACTGTCACAGAAGGAGCAAGGGGGAGAGTCAAAGATTAATTCAGGGAACAACTATATGCTTTCAGAGGATTGTTATGACTTTATTTTTGCTCTTGAGTGAGAGGGACAGCCATTGAAAAGTTTTGAGTGTCCTGGCCTGATACCAATTTGAAAAGGATCACACTGGTTACTATGGTAAATAGGGAGAAAAGGTGGAAATAGGGAGACTAGTTAGGGGGCTGTTGCAGTTATTTAGTGAAAGAGCTCTGGAAAGTATTGAGACTTGATTAGATTTTTGATAAAGCATATCTAAAATATCTAAGACTCTAAAAGGTCAGCTTTGGGGTATACTTTGGGGGTAGTGCCAGTAGGATTTTCTGTCACTGTGAACATGGAGTAAGGGAGCAAGAGAGGATTGAGAGGAGCAAGTAACCCCATGAATTTTAGCCTGAACAACTGAGCTGATGGAGTTGTCATTTACTGAGATGGGAGGACTATGAAGAAATAAGTTGTGGCGGAGAAGATCAAATATTAGGTTATGGACATAGGTTACGGGCATAGTTGTTTGAGATGCCTGATAAACATCTAAATGGAAAAATGAAGTAAGTCTGGAGTTTAGAGGTGACGTCTAGGTTGGAGATAGAAATTTGGCATTGGCAGGATATGGACAGGATTTAAAGGTAAAGGACTGGATTTAGGTACCAATGAAGTGAGTTCAGAGAAAAAGATAACTGAGAAATGAGTCCTTGGGAAAGCCAGTGTTTGTAGGTTGGGGAGATGCAGAGGAACCAGCAAAGGAGAAAGAGGAGAGCAAGGGAATAAGGAGAAAAAGCAGGAGAGTGTGGTGTTTTAACTTGACCTACTTGAAGTTAAATCTCCTTTCTTCATTGAGGATACTGACTGTCAAATACACACAGGATAATAGATGAGAAAATCCCATAATTATACATAAAGAACAGCCTCAGAATAATAATACCAATAATGCCCAATTGTTATAATTACTGAAAATGTAGTTAATTTGTTTTTGAATGTGTTCTCTTCATTCTCCCTCTTGCCATTTTTAAAATAGTTGAGGCGTTACAAGGTGAATTATGTTCCCCTAAAATTCATTAAAATTCTCACCCTCAGTAGCCTGAAATGTGACTGTTTTTGGAGGCGGGTCTTTAAAGAGGTAATTAAGATTAAGTGAGGTCATTTTGGTTATTGGGTCCTAATCCAGTATAACTAGTATCCTTATAAAGAGGAGGAAATTAGGACTCAGACACATGCAAAAGAAAGACCATGTGAAGACACAGGGAAGAAAAGGTAGTTAGGCTGTCTTCAAACCAAGGAGAGAGTCTTCAGAAGAAAACCCTGCTTACACCCATATGTCAGACTTACAGCCTCCAGAACTATGAGAAAATAAACTTATTTTATTTAAGCCATCCAGACTCTGGTACTTTGTCATAGCAGACCCAGCAAGCTAATACAAAGTCTTATCTACATAGTGAGCACAACAGTTATTACATACCATTCTCTCTTAACTGTTATTTAATCATAGTCCTATAAGTACCTGTGTGTTTAGGGCTTATATTATTTCCTTATATTGATGTGTTTTGGCTGTGTTTTAGCTCTTTCTGTAGTAGATTCCTCAGGAAGAGTTCATGGAAACAGTATTTCTTGAGAAATGCATTTTGATACTAGTGTGTAAGGCACTTTATATTTTTTACTTGAAAGTCATTTTGCCTGGTTATAAAATCCTTGACTTTTTTTTCTTTCTTTGGATGTCTTAAATATGCTACTAATTTTTCCCTAGCATGAGGTATTAGTATTGAAAGTCTCTTGACAATGTAATATCTTTTCCATTACAAGACACTCAGTCTTGTTAGATGTTCAAAGGATTTTTTTTTCTTTTTCCTTAAATCTAGTAATTTTGGTAGACATGTCTTGGTGTTGGTCATTCTGAGTTAATTTCTCAGGTATGTGGTGTGCACTTTCATATGTAGTTTCCATCTTTTCATATTTTAAGAAATTGTTCTTATACTACAACTTTAGAATTTCTTCTCTTTCCTTGCTTTGGTTTTCTTCTCCAGAGACTTGACTATGCATGTTTATTTACTTTGCTTATCTTTTTCTTAAATCACTTATTTTATTTCATTTTCTCTTAAATCTTTATCTCCTTCTTTCTCTCACATTTTAAAATTTAAAAGTAAAATAAAAACTACAGAAAAGCTACAAGCACTATGCCAGTCAGTTTTTTTCCTGAACCATGAGAGTAACTACTGACATGATGCTCCATCATTCCTGAATGTTGTGTTCCTACAAACAAGAACATTCTTTCACATAATTATTCTATAACATAAAATCAAGAGATTAGCAATGATTTGTTACTACCATTTAATTATCAGACCCCTTTAAAATTTTGCTAATTGTTGTATAATATATTTTATAGTAAAAAGATCCAGTTTACTGCATTTACATTATAATGCATCAAACAGCTTCTCAGTCTTTCCTTCATTTTCTATATGGATGCCCTCTTCACCTGAGGCAGGTGTTGGCTTCTTTTCTGATTACCTTCCATCATGGATGCCCTCTTAACCCTTCCTCAGTTCTAGCACAATACACTGAGCTAGGCTGTTGAGCTGATGCCTTCCCTATATCCTTCTGGAGCCCCCGGTTTCTTTACCTCCTGCTGGGCAGCCCTCTTATTCAGATGCTACCCTCTCTCTAGAACTCTTGACAACCCATCCTGGCTTACTCCTTTGGGCAATGTGCTCTCTGCCCTGCTGGTGGTGTGCCTTCCCTTGCCTGGTTGCTTCCCTTTGTGCGTATTTTCTCATCTTCCTCAGGCTACAACAACCTGAGCCAGGCAACCCCCTGTGAGGATGCCCTTCTCTGGCTGCCCAGGCTCCAACATGCCAAGCCACACACCAAATGAATGATTTTCAATCCCCACTCTAGATCCAGCTGCCTTCCATGGTTTGCCCTCTCCTCTCAGGCAGATGCCTTCTCATCCTTTTCAGGCTCTGACTCTACACAGAGAAGCCCTTAGTGTACCTAATCTTCCTTACCTTGCACATACTCAGAAACTTTATGTCAAGGCATAACCCACTTGCCTCTTCCTTGTTGTTTCAGGTAGACGCCTTATCACTTTTTTGGAATTCTGACTTCATGAACTGGGCAGCTCTCCTACCTACCCTTCCTATCCGTCTTATGCTCTGACATCCTGCAACAAATTGCACTATGTTGTTGGCTGTAGGTTTTTTATAGATGCTTTTTTTGGTAGTTAGAATTCCATTCTATTCCTAGTTTGTTCAATGCTTCTTATAAAAAGTGTTAGATTCTGTGAAACATGTTTAGTGTATCTGTTGAGATAATAATATTAATATGTTAGTCAGTCTAGGTACAGGCTTGTTAGTAGTGTTGATCTTTTCAAAGAACTGGCTTTTGATTTTATTGTGTTTTCACAGTTGTTTTCTTATTGTCTATTTCATTAAGTTCTTCTATAATTCTTTTTATTTTTTTCTTTCTGCTTGTTTTATGTTTAGTTTGCTTTTTTGCTTCCAGGGTCATAAAGTGGGAGGTTTAGTTGTTGATTTGAAGTCCTCTTTTTAAATACAAACATTTACACGTAGAAGTTTCTAAGTGCCTTAACTGCTTATATTTTGGTATTTGTGCCTTTATTCATCTCAAAATACTTTGTAATTTCCCTTTTGATTATTTCTTCTTTGACACATCAGTTATTTAGGAATGTGTTTATTTCCACATATTTATGAATTCCTCAAATTCCCTTATATTATTGATTTCTAACATTCCAGTTTGGACAGATAATATACTTTGTATTATATCTGTCTTCATAAATTTATTGAGGTTTGTTTTATGACCTGAGTTTGGTGTATCCAGGAGAATGTTTTGTGTGTACGTATTTTTTGGAAACAGGGTCTCTCCTTCTGTCACCTAAGCTGGAGTGCAGTGGTGCAGTCCTAGCACACTGGAGACTTAGACTCCTGGGCTCAAGTGATCCTCCTGCCTCAGCTTCCTGAGTAGCTGGGATTATAGGCACAAGCCACTGTGTCTGACTAATTTTTCAGCTTTTTATAGAGACAGGGTCTTGCAAGCTCAGGCTAGTTTTGAACTCCTGGCCTCAAGTGATCCTCCTACCTCAGCCTCCCAAAGTGTTGGGATTACAGGCGTAAGCCACTGAGCCCAGCTATGTGTACTTTAGAAGAATGTGTATTCTGCTGTTTTGGGATGGTGTGTTCTAGAGTTGTCTGTTAGTTCTGTTTGGTTTTTGTTCAAATCTTCAGTTTCTTTCTTGATCTTATGAATGGAAAGTTGAGTATTGAAGTGCCCAACTATTATTGTTAACTTGTCTATTTCTCCCTTCATTTCTTCAGATGTTTCTTCATGTATTTTGACACTCTGCTGTTAGGTGCACATATGTTTACAATTGCTATATCCTCCTCATGACTGACCCTTTTATCATTATCCAATGTCTTTTTAATATCTAGTAATATATCTTGGTTTAACATCTATTTTGTCTGATATTAGCACAGCCATTCCAGCTTTCTTGTGATTTATTGATATTTTTCCCATTTAATTTACTTTAAATATGTTTTTATCTTTGAATATTCTATAAACAGTATGTTATTGAATCTTACTTTATTATCCAGTCTGACAATCTCTGCCTTTTGATTGGATTGGTTATTTCATTCATCTTTAATGTGATTATTGATAGGTTTCCATGTGTCATTTTACTTTTTGTTAGCTATGTGTCTCAAGTTCTTTTTATTTCTTTATTTCTTCTTTACTGCTTTCTTTGGATTATGTGCTTATTTTCTTAAACAGCATTTTCAATTTTTAAATAATTTTTTTCACTTAAAAAAACATTTCCTTAGTGATTGCACTAGGGCTTACCATATACATCTTAACTCACTGGAATCAGCCTCAGATTTATACTAATTTTATCCTAGTGAGTTATATAAATGTTACTTCTATATAGCTCTATTTGTTTTCTCCGTTTTTTGTGACATTATTGTTATACATATAGTATCTGTATATGTTACAAACCCAACATGACATAATTATCACTTCATATAATTGTGTATTTTAAAGAAGCTGAGAGAAGAAAGGAGATACAGTATATGTTTGTAGATTTTATTATATTGATCTTCTGATTTATCATTTATGAATCTTTTCATTTGTTTCTGCGGATTCAGTTACCACTTGGAGTCATTTCCTTAGCTCAGTATAACTTTGCTTCCACCCACCTTCTTTGTTATGCTGAAGTGGTCCGTATTGAAAAGCATGCATCATACTCTACTCATTTGAGTATAATTGGTACAAAATATATTCATACATTCTTTTCTTCTCTTAAAATAATTATAACAGTTTTATTGAAGTGTAATTTACATGTCATACAACTCATTAATGTTAAGTGTACAAGTCAATTATTTTTTACAAACTTACAAAGTTGTGCAGACATCACTACAATTTAATTTTAGAACATTTCTATCACCCCAGAAGGATCCTACCTGCCTATTTGCAATCACTCCTCATTCTCATCCATGTCCTATTCATACAGTTTTATATAACAATTCTTCCTCTGAAAATCCTTCTGAAAGAAATAATACAATAAATATTGATATTTATATAAAGGCTTATACTTTTATGTAAAATTTTTTCTTTTTAAATTTTTTTGAGAGTCAGGGTCTCACTGTGTCACCCAGGGTGGAGTGCAGTGGTGTGATCAAGGCTCACTGTGGCCTCAAAATCCTGGGCTCAGTGATCCTTCCACTTCACCTCCTGAAGAGCTGGGACTATAGGCATGTGACACCGCACTCAGCTAATTTTTAATTTTTTGGTAGAGATGGGGTCTCTCTCTGTGTTGCCCAGGTTGATCTCAAACTCCTGGCCTCAAGTGATCCTCCCACCTTGGCCTCTCAAAGTGCTAAGATTACAGGTGTGAGCCATTGCGCATGTCCACCTTTATATATAAATTTAAAGACATAGAAATAACCTAATACTACAAATAAGGGAAGATAAGAAAATTATCTTTATTTAATGGATTTCATGTTTATATTTAAATTACATTATACACTTTTTTTAACCTGAAAATGTTAGATTTAATTACGTAAACTTGTTTTCCTCCTACAAACCAAAATAGGGTATGGTATGTATCATGGACTCAGAAAAACTAAGACCAATGTATTTCCAAATAAGAATAGGTTTTATTAGACACCTTACATTTCCACAAAAGTATTTTAAATCTTTTAAGATAATATATTAAAACTTGTTAATTCCAGTGTAAGCAGTATGAACAAAATGAAAGCAAGAGTTTTGTTCTAGACAATGGGATGTACAAATGTTTCCGCAGTGGTAAAATGCAGACACGGAAAGCTGATTTAGTGTTTAACAACGTATCTTGTGTGTTTAATTCAGTCATTGTTTTTTTGAATGCAGATATGCTGAGTTCTTAAGCATTCTAGTGATAACACTACCTTCCTCATTCAAAAAAAAAGTATTATCAATGAAATACTTCAGACTACAACATACACAGATTTTTAATTATTCATGTTGCTCTTGTCTTGGCACATGCCTAATAATTAATAGTTTGCATCCAGTTTCGTATTAGTCTCTACACACTAGTCCAGAAGTAAAAACTGACATGTTTGGTCTTCACAGTGTTAAAATGTTTGAATTAAATTTTAAAATATAGTGCTTTTAGATAAAAATTCGGATTTCATGTTTCTCTTGAAAAATATGGAAGAACTAGCAACAGTGAACAATTGACTTGAGCTGAGGAGTAGGGGCCACTTTTAGAAAGGACAAACATTCTCTAGTTTGAGGAAGTCCCCATCTGGCCCAATTCACTTACATGCATATCTGTGTGCCTTCTGTGAGAACTTGAGTTTGGGACATTTGATTTAACCTTATTATAACATTGAGTGAGAAAATTGGAGCCACATCAGCTAAATGATTTCCTAAGCTTGAAAAAGATAATTAGTGGCAGAGTCAGGATTTTAAGTTGATGTCAGCAGCAATACACTGAATATGGACTATAAATCAGAAGACTTAGAATTACATGCTGGCCCCTTCCCTTCTACATCTTAATTTCTTAACATTAAGCTTTCATAGTTGTAAGTTGAAAGTAATAGTAATATTGATATGTGATTATTGCAAAGGTTAAATATCATTTATCATTATTAGACTCATATCTGCAGAGCAATTTTAACCATGTCTGACAATACCTTTCTTGTTATAGATGGCATATGTTTAGTTGTCTTTCATAAAAAGTAATAACATGTTTTAACAAACTTCTCTTCTGAGTTTAGTATGTATATTGTGATATTATTGTTGAGTAGCATTGGTATTTCATAGATTGATTTGCTTTTTAGTGAAGATATGAATATTTTTGCATATTAACTTTTTATAGCCTCAAATGGTAGTCATTTTTATAAGTAATTCATGTGTCAGGCACTGCTTATTTACATAAATACTTTTTAAAGTGTTAATAATAAAAATTAAACTTATGCTATGATGTAGTCAAGTAAAATCCTATTATATATAATATCAGGTTTGATATTTTTTTCTAATGAAATGATTTTGCCAGTAATCAAAAACTTTAAATTAGAAAATGAAGATCTGAGCATCTTTATTGGCATAATAAAACTTAACTCTCATTGAATTGAAGTGACAATAACAAAGTAAGTAACACCACTGAATAGTCCCTGACACATGAAAGGTACACAAGTACTTTCTTATTGCAAATGTTTCTCTGCTTTAAAACTTTTAAGTTTTAATTGTTGCTTTTAAAAAGAGTGTTTACCTTGGTTTTATTTTTTCAGAGTACCTTCAAGTTTAAATCTGAGAGTGATATTCATTTGGCAGAACATCATAAACAGGTTTTGTATGATGGGAAACTTGCAAGTAGCATTACCTTTACATATACTGCTAAGGCCACTGATGCTCAACTCTGCCTGGAATCATCACCAAAAGAGAATGCATCAATTTTTGTGCATTCCCAACATGCTCTAATGCTTCAGGTGGGTGAATCATGGCTGTGTTTTCATGTTCTTGTCAGAATTTAACAGTATCTTTATTTTATGTATCAAACATTGCTCATCTATAAATCTGTGACTTTTTGTTTCTTTTTTGGCTTTTGCAGATCTTTTAAGTGAAACTTTAAAGAATGTCTATCTTTTCTGTAGCAATATGCTCTACCCTGGCCTTGTCTCCTTAGTAGGAAATCTGTCATATCTATTATCTTATATATTATACAGCCTTTGAAATTAAATCAATTAACTGAATAAGTTAGTTGTTAGATATAAAAACATACTTTGCTTTAAGATTGTATTACTAATATTCTGTAACATTAAAATTACTTGTCTTTAAATCCATCAATAGTATTTCTGGTTTTAAAATAACATTTGATTTTAACTTCATATTTTTAGTGTAAAAATGTCTCAACCTAAGATTTGAAATTTAAAAGTGATTAGCAAATGTACTCACTTTTTTGTCTTATGTGTGTATAAAAATTATAATTGAAGGCTTCAAAAATGTCCAACTATGTTATTTAATTCCCTTATAAAGGTATTTGGACCAAGGAAATAGTGATGAAAATCATTCTATAGAAGTTTAATAAACATTTTTGGTTTTAGACATAGGATGTGAAAGGGATAGTAACACATTCAATTCATAGTGCAATTCATTCAATTGGACAGATTCAAGTGCTTTTTCCACTGTTTCCCCAATTGGATAATCGGCAGCTCAATGACAGTCAAGTGGAAACAACTGTCTGGTAAGTTTTCTTTACATGTGCAATTGCTGGTATTTTATACACACTTAGACTATGCATGATGTACTCAGTGCTGTGTAAATGTATTACAGTATTTGGGTTCTGCCCTTAAAGTGCTAATAAATTTTTTAGAACTAATGCAGATAGATATTTATACAATAAATAAAACCCTGACATTTAGGTTGTTATATCATAAAGGAATGCCTTTTGTGATAATAAATAGAAAATTCTTAACAAAGATAGCATAGTGATTATAATATGTAGTTGAGGGAAAATATGAATCCTGACCTTATCATTTGCATATACTCATGGTTCGAATTCTCCATGAAACCCTGTCAGGTTGAAGAAAATTACTAGGGTAAAATTATTCAGAAGAAAAAACATTTATTAGCAATTACATAATTTATATCTTTAAGAGTGGTATTATTTTATGATGCGTTTGTCGTGGCATAAGTCTAGCATAATGTTAATTGACATCAACCCTTATTTATATATAGTTTATGTTTGAGGACTCAAATCTAACCAGTGGCAAATCCAAGTTTATGTAAAAATTAAATATCTTCTAATGAGTGTAATTTCATGTGCATTTTTATAGTTTCTCTTTTATTTAAAAAAACCTTATGTGCCAGACTCTAATTTACTGTTATATCTTAGAATTATATATACAAGAATTTAAAAATGAATTCTAATAGCTATTTTGACTATACACACTGCCATGCTTGGGGATTTTAATGGGCAAGTTATATAGATAAGCATTAATTTTTATTCCAAAAGTAACATAGTAGTGCTTCATTAGTACATATACATATATATGAGCTCCTTCATGGGTTATCTAATTTTGAATTGATGGCAAATCTAGTGAATGGAGGTATGAGAAAAATGTAAGGTACAATGAAGTGTAATACATGTTTTTTTCTCATAATTATTATCTAAATTAGCTATTAATGAAATTCAATTTTAGTATTTCTAATAATATTATTTCTGTTTTGGGAACATCTTTATGTAAAGTATAACTCTAAATATAGATAAGAGATTTGTACATTTATAACATTACCTCCCGTCTATGGGTCTTGATGCCTTTCATATCAATATAGTGTAAAGGTGGGAGTTTTGAAAGTAAAAAACTTGAAGTGAAAAGGAATCCTGAGGTTATGTCCTGCTGTGATACTATTTTGTTTGTGAGATCTTAAATAATCTAATTGGAAGTTAGCTCAGCTTAGTAGAAAAATCAAACTTAAAATTTCTGTCCTTTATTTAAATTCAAAATGTTTTGCTATTTATCATCTCAGTGAACTAGGACACATTATGATCAGTAATTTAAAATCTAGTCAGTACTATGAAAAAAAAGTAAGTGGGAGATGAAGTTGCCACTAGAAAAATCCATGTATAATTTAAATATTTCTTATGAAATATGAAATACATATAATCAAATCTTACTAGAAAAATCCATGTATAATCTAAATATTTCTCATGAAATAATATGAAATACATATATTATCAAATCTTACTGCTAAACCATATGTAATAGGTTATCTGGTTTATTAATACAAGATGCATGGTTACGTTTTACTGTCCTTCCTCAAAACTCATTTGATATGTATATCATATCTTGGTATTTAAATTGTATTTATTTCATCATGGAGATAAAAGAGAGTGTGAGGAGTCAGCATACTTATTTTCATTTTGATTTTAGTTCTTTTATATCATTCATCCTAATATTTCCCTGTATTAACTAATTCCAACTTTTTCAGTGATGCCTATTTTGTCTTTAGTTTCTTTCTTTCTTTATTTAAGATGGACTCCTACTGTGTTGCCCAGGCTGGAGTGCAGTGCTGTGATCTCTTGACTCACTGCAACCTCCATTTCCCAGACTCAAGCAATTCTCCTGACTCAGCCTCCCAAGTAGCTGGTGAGGCACGTGGGGCAGAGAAAAAAAAAAAAAAAACAAAAACCGCGCGAGCGGAGAAGCAGGGCCTGGGACCCCACAGACGAAAGTGCCTTCCCATCAGCCCCTGCGCTGGGCCCAGTGGAACCTGGCGTCCCTGGTTCCACCCCAGGGTGCGCCTCAGGCCGCTAGGGATACCTCAAGGCGGACAAAAGGCCCATGAGGGGAAGGTGAGGTTTGAGGGAGGATAGGTGAGGCACCTGTGGCAGAAAAAAAAAAAAAACGCGCCACGGAGAAGGGGGGCCTGGGTCCCCCACACACGAAAGTTTCTTCCCATCAGCCCCTGCGCTGGGCCCCGTGGACCCTGGCGACACTGGTTGGAGCACAGGGTGAGCCTCGGGCCTGATAGGGGTACCCCAAGGAGGGCAGAAAGCCCATGAGGGGAAGGTGAGGCACCTGGGGCAGAGAAAAAAAAAACCGCGCCGTGGAGAAGCGGGGCCTGGGTCCCCCACGGACGAAATTGCCTTCCCATCAGGCCCTGCGCTTGGCCCTGTGGACCCTGGCATCCCTGGTTCGAGACCAGGTGAGCCTCAGGCCGCAAGGGGGACTCCAAAGAGGGCAGAAGGCCCATGAGGGGAAGGTGAGGCACCTGGGGCAGAGAAAAAAAAAAAATGCGCCGCGAAGCGCTGTCTGGGTCATCCACGAAGGAAACTGTCTTCCCATCAGCCCTTGCGCTGGGCCCCAGGGACCGTGGCATCCCTGGTTCGCGCCCAGGGTATGCCTCGGGCCGCTAGGAGTACCCCCAACTCGGACAGAAGGCCCATGAGGGGAAGTTGAAGTTTGTGGGAGGAGAGGTGAGGCACCAGGGGCAGAAAAAAAAAACAGGACCGCGCCTCGGAGAAGCGGGGCATGGGTCCCCCACGGATGAAAGTGCCTTCCCATCAGGCCCTACACTGGGCCCCGTGGACCCTGGCGACCCCGGTTCGAGCCCAGGGTGCGCCTCGGGACCGCTTGGCGTACCACAAAGCGAACAAAAGGCCCATGAGGGGAAGGTGAGGCACCTGAGGCAGAGAAAAAAAAACGCGCCGCCGAGAAGCGGTGCCTGGGTCCCCCACGGACAAAAGTGTCATCCCATCAGCCCCTGCGCTGGGCCCTGGGGACCCTGGCGTCCCTGGTTTGACCCCAGGGTACGCCTCGGGCCACGAGGGGTCCCCCAAGGTGGGCAGAAAGCCCTGAAGAGGAAGGTGAGGCACCTGGGGCAGAGAGAAAAAAAAAAAAAAAACTTCGCCGCCGAGAAGCGCGGCCTGGGTCCCCCACGGAAGAAAGTGTCTTCCCATCAGCCCCTGCACTGGGACCCGGGGACCCTGGTGTCCCTGGTTCGAGCCCAGGGTGCGCCTCGGCCGCTTTGTGCCAAGGGGGGCACAAAGTCCATGAAGGGAAGGTGAGTTTTGAGGGAGGAGAGGTGAGGCACCTGACGCAGAAAAAGAAAAAAAAAACAGAACCGCGCGGCGGAGAAGCGGGGCCTGGGTCCCCCACGGGCGAAAGTGCCTTCCCATCAGCCCCTGCACTGGACCCTGTGGACCCTGGCGACACTGGTTCGAGCCCCGGGTGCGCCTCGGGTCTGCTAGGGGTACCCAAAGGCAGGCAGAAAGCCCATGAGGGGAAGGTGAGCTTTGAAGGAGGAGAGGTGACGCACCTGTCACAGAAAAAGAACAAAAAACCGCGCCACGGAGAAGTGGGGCCTGGGTCCCCCACGGACGAAAGTGCCTTCCCATCAGCCCCTGCACTGGGCCCCATGGACCCTGGCCACCCTGGTTCGAGCCCCAGGTGCGCCTCGGGCCCGCTAGGGGTACCCCAAGGCAGACAGAAGGCCCATGAGGGAAAGGTGAGACACCTGGGGCAGAGAAAAAAATGAAAAACTGCGCCGCCCAGAAGTGGGGCCTGGGTCCCCCACGGACGAAAGTACCTTCCCATCAGCCCCTGCACTGGGCCTCATGGACCCTGGCCACCCTGGTTCGAGCCGCAGGTGCGCCTCGGGCCCGCTAGGGGTACCCCAAGGCAGACAGAAGGCCCATGAGGGAAAGGTGAGACACCTGGGGCAGAGAAAAAAATGAAAAACTGCGCCGCCTAGAAGTGGGGCCTGGGTGCCCCACGGACGAAAGTGCCTACCCATCAGCCCCTGCACTGGGCCCCGGAGACCCTAGCGTCCCTGGCTCAAAACCAGGGTACGCCTCGGGCCCGCTAGTGGTACCTCAAGGCGGGCAGAAAGCCCATGAGGGGAAGGGGAGGCACCTGGGGAAAAGCAAAACAAAAAACAAAAAACAAAACAACAACAACAACAAAAAAACGCCGCGGAGAAGCAGAGCCTGGGTCCCCAAGGAAGAAAGTGTCTTCCCATCAGCCCTTGCGCTGGGCCCCGGGGAACCTAGTGTCCCAGTTTCGAACCCAGGGTGTGCGTCTGGCCACTAGGGGTACCCCAAGTCGGACAGAAGGCCCATGAGGGGAAGGTGAGGCACTTGTGGCAGAGAAAAAGAAAAACCGCCCCGCGGAGAAGCGGGGCCTGGGTCCCCCACGGACGAAAGTGTCCGTCAGCCCTTGAGCTGGGCCCCGAAGACGCTGACGTCCCTGGTTCGAGCCCACAGTGCGCCTCAGGCTGCTAGGAGTACCCCATGGAGGAAAGAAGGCCCAAAAGTTTCAGCTGAGGTTTGAGGGAAGAGAGGTGAGGCACCTGTGGCAGAAAAAAAAAAAAAAAAAGCGCAGCGGAGAACCGGTGCCTGGGTCCCCCACGGACGAAAGTGCCTTCCCATCAGCCACTGCGCTTGGCCCCGTGGAACCTGGCTTCCATGGTTCGAGCCCAGGGTGCGCCTCGGGCCGCTAGGGGTACCCCAAAGCGTGCAGAAGGCACGTGAGGGGAAGGTGAGGCACCTGGGGCAGAGAAAAAAAAAAAAAAAACCTCGCCGCGGAGAAGCGGGGCCTGGGTCCCCCACAGGTGAAAGTGTCTTCCCATCAACCCTTGCGCTGGGCCCCGGGGACCCTGGCGACCCTTATTCGAGTCCAGCGTGTGCCTGGGGCCGCTAGGGGTACCCCAAAGCGGGCAGAACGCCCATGAAGGGAAGGTGACCCACCTGGGGCAGAGGAAAAAAAAAAAAACCGTTCCTAGGAGAAGCGGGGCCTGGCTCTCCCACGGAAGAAAGTGTCTCCCCATCAGCCCTTGCGCTGTGCCCCGGGGACCCTGGCATCCCTGGTTTGAGCCCAGGGTGCGCCTCGGGCCGCTAGGGGTACCCGAAGGTGGACAGAAGGCCCATGAGAGGAAGGTGAGGCACCTGGGACAGAGAAAAAAAAACAAAACAAAACTGCGCCGCCGAGAAGCGGGGACTGGGTCCCCCACGGATGAAAGTGTATTCCTATGAACCCTTGCGCTGAGCCCCAGGGACCCTGGCGTCCCTGGTTCGGGTCCAGTGTGCGCCTAGGGCGGCTAGGGGTACCCCAAGCTGGACAGAAGGCCCTGAGGGGAAGTGAGGTTTCAGGGAGTAGAGGTGAGGCACCTGTGGCAGGTGTCCATCTGTAAACTGTTTATCCATGTGAGCCCTGATGTCCACCAGGGGCTGGATGTCCCCCTGGGGCTAGATGTTCACCTGGAGCCTGGTGTCTACCTGGGGCCTGATATCCAGGAGAGGCTTAGTTATCCACCTATGGCCATTTGGAGCCAGATGCCCACCAGAGGCTTGGTGTACACCTAAGGCCTGATATCTACCTGGGGCTTGGGTGTTCATGTGGGGCCTGATGTCCACCTAAGACCATGTGTTCACCTGGAGCCTGGGTGACCATCTGGGTTATGATGTTCAGCTGGGGCCCAGAGTTCAGCTGGGGACTGGGTCAACCTTCTGCCTGATGCACACCTGGGGACTAGGTACCCACCTGGGCTCCGGTGTTCACTGGAGCCTGATGTCTACCTGGGGTCTTGTATTTACCTAGGACCAGTGCATCCACCGGGGGTCTGAGTGCCCTCATGGAGCCTGGAGTTTTCCTGGGGCCTGGGGTCTGCCTTAGGCTTAAGTGTACATCTGTGGCCTGATGTCCACCTTGGGATGGATGTCCACCTGGGGACGGATATTCAGTAGGGGCCTGAGTGTCCACCTGGTTTGTGATGTCTACCTGGGGCCTGGTGTTCATCTGAGGTTTGATATCCACTTGGGGCCTGGACATTTGCCTGGAACCTGATGTACAGCTGGTGGCTGAAGTTCATCTATGCCTGGTGTCCCCCTGGGGCCAGGTAGTCAACACGGTGCCTGAAGACCTTCTAGAGTTCAGTGTTCACCTGTGGCCTGAAGTCCATCTAGGGCTTGGGTGTCCAAATAGGGCCTGGTGTCAGCTTGAGATTTGTGTATTTACCTAGGGCCTGGTTGTCCACTTGGGGCTTGATTTTTTTACTTGGTTTTTGTTTTAATCTGGGGTCTAGTGTCCACCTGGGGCCTAGGTATCCACCTAGGGACTATTGTCCAGCTGGAGACTAATGACTACCTATGGCCTGGTAATCACCTAAGGCTTTGTTTCACTTAGGTCCTTGGTGCCAAACTGTTGCCTGCTGTTCACCTGGGGTATGCTGTCCACCTGGGGCATATTGTCCACCTGGGGTCTGGATGTCAGCCTGGGGCTTGTTGTACACCTGTATCTTAGATATCTAGATAGGGGTCTGTTTTCTGCTTAGGTGCAGCAGTCCACCTGGTGCTTGAGTGTCAACCTACGGCCTGATGTCTATGTTGGACCTAGGGTTCACCTGAGGCCTGATATCCACCTGGGGCCTCAATGTCCAAATGGAGCCTGATGCCCATCTGGGCCCTGGGTGTCTACCTGTGGCATGGATGTCCACTGGTACTTTATGTCCACCAGGGGCCTAATGTCCACCTAAGACGTGGTGTTCACCTGGGGTCTGATGTTCAGCTGAAGACTGGATGTCCACCTGGAGCTGAGGAATCCACCCAGGGACTGGTGTTGAACTGGGGCCTGATGACCACCGGGGGACAAGGTATCCACACCAGGCTTGATGTCCACCTGTCACCAGATGTCTACGTGAGTCCTGATGTCCATCTTGATCCTGGGTGTCCACATTAGGCCTGATGTCCAACTGGGGCCTCGGTACCCACTGGGGGCTTCTGGTTAACCTGGGGACTGGTGTCAATCTGGGGCCTAATGACCACCTGGGTTGTATTATTCACCTAGGGCCTGGTGTCCACTTGGGGCTTGAGTGTAACCTTGGACCTGGCACCCACATAGGACTTGGGTATCAGACTGGCCCCTTGGTGTCCAGTTAAGACATCATGTGAACCTGGCGCCTGAGTGTCCACATGGGGCCAAATGACTACTGGGGGCCTGAATGTCAACCTAGAATCTGAGGTTTACTAGGGGTCTAGGTATCCACCTGGGGCCTAATGTCCACCTGAGCCTGGGTGTCAACCTGGGGCCTGATGTAAACCTCTAGTTCAGTGTCCACCTTGGGCTTGATGTCAACCTGAAGCCTGATGTCCACCTGAGTACTGATGTTCACCTTTGACCTGATGTCCACCTGTGGACTCTTTGTCCACCCATGGCCCGATGTTCACATGGGGCTGAATGTCCAACTGTGACCTGTTGTGCACCTGGAACCTGGGCATCCACCTGCGGCCTGATGTTCAGCTGGGCTGGGACCCGGAGTTCACCTGAGGCATGATGTCCACCTGAAGCTTGATGTTCATCTGAGGGCTGGGTGTCCACCTGGGGCCCGATATCCACCTGGAGACTAGGTACCCACCTGGGATCTGGTGTTCACTTGAGATTGGTGTTTAGCTGTGGCCTAATGACCACCTGGGTCATGGTGTCTACCTTGGACTGGGTGCTCACCTGGAGCCAGTGTTCACCGGGGGCCTAGTGTGCACCTGAGACTGAGGGATGCACCTGGGGCCTCCTGTCTACCTGGTGCCTAGTTATCCACTTGGGGCCTAATGTTCATCTGGAATCTGATATCCACCTGGGGCCTTGTAATTACCTGGGATCTGGGCATCCACCTAGGGCTTGAGTATCCTCCTGGGGCCTTGAGTTTTACTGGAGACTCGTGTCTGCCTTGGACCTGGGTGTACATCTGTTGCCTAATGCACACCTTGAGAGTGATGTCAACCTGGGGACACATGTCCTCTTGGGGTCTGAGTGTGCACCTGGTGCCTGATGTCTGCCTGGGGACTTGTGTTCACCTGAGACCTGATATCCACCTGGGGCCTGGACGTCCACGAGGGGCTGATGTTCAGCTGGAGACTGGATATCCACCTGGGGCTTAGGGATCCACCCAGAAACTGATGTCAAACTGGGGTCTGATGTCTACCTGGGGACTAGGTATCCATGTGAGGCTTGATGTTCATCCATGGCCAGACGTCCATCTGATGCTTGATGTCCACCTTAGTCCTGGGTCTCTACTGGAGACCTCATGTCGAACTAGAGCTTAGGAACCTACTGGGGGCCTCATGTACACCTGGGGACTGGTATGCAGCTGGGTCCTAATGATCCCCTGGGTCATATTATTCACCTAGGGCCTGGTGTCCACTTGGGGCTTGAGTGTCAACCTTAGGTCTTGTGTTCATCTTTGACCTGGTGTCCACCGGGGACTTGGGTATCAACCTGAGGACTTGGTGTCCAATTGAGGTGTCATGACCACCTGGGGATTGAATGTCAATCTGGGGTCTGATGTAAACCTCTAGTTCAGTATACACCTGGGCCTGGTCTTCATTTGGGGCCTGCTGTCTACCTGGGCCTTGCTGTCAACCTGGGGCCTGATGTAAACCTCTAGTTCAGTATCCACCTGGGGCCAGATGTCTTCCTAGAGACTTATATTCACTTTTGACCTGATGTCTACCTGGGGACTTGCTATCCCTCCATGGTCTGATATTCACCTGGGGACAGATGTTCAACTGTGGTCAGAAGTGCTCCTGGGGTCTGGGCTTCCACCTGGAGCCTGATGTTTAGCTGGGGCTAGAGTTCACATGGAGAATGATGTCCACCTGAAGTTTGATGTTTACCTGGGACCTGATACCTACCTGGTGCCCAAGTATTCTCATGTGCCTAACGTCCACTAGTTGGCCTGGTGTTCATCTGAGGGCTTGGTGTCAATCAGTGGCTTTATGTACACCTGGATTCTAGTGTCCTCCTGGGGCCTTATGCCTACCAGGAGTCTGGTGTACCCCTGGGGTCTAGTGTCCACCTGGAGTCTGGGTGTCCACCTGGAGCCTAATGTTGAGGTTAGACTGAGTGTCAGCTTGAGGCCTGATGTCTACTTAGGGCATAGGTATTCATCTGGGGCTTGTTGTTTACCTGGGGACTAATGTCAACCTTGAGCCTAGGTATCCACCTGGGGAATAGTGTCCAGTTGCAGCCAGATGTCCACCTATGGCCTGAAGCATGGTCGTTATCCTAAGACCTTGTCCGTTTTCACACTGTTATAAAAAACTACCTGATTTTGGGCAACTTATGAGGAAAAGAGGTTTAACTGACCCACAGTTCTTTAGGCTTAATAGGGAGAATGACTGGGCGGGCTCGGGCCACTTACAATCATGATGTAAAGCCAAGAGGAAGCAAGCCCTTTTTACCATGGGAGAGGAGGAGGGAGAGAGAAGGGGGATGTGCTACACACTTTCAAATAACCAGATCTCGTAAGAACTCTATCACGAGAACAGCAAGTGGGAAGTCTGCCCCCATGATTCAATCACCTCTCACCAGGCCCCTTCTTCAACCCATGGGGATTACAATTCAACATGAGATTTGGGTGGAGACATAGAGCCAATATCAGGCCTGATGCCCACCTGGAATCGTGTCTACCTGAGGCCTAATGTAGACATGAGGCCTGGGCATCCACCTAGGACCTCATGTTAAGATATGAGCTGGAGTTCCTTTCGTGTCTAGTGTATACCTGGGGCCCAGATGTATAACTAGAGCCTGATGTTTCAGATGGAAACCTGGGCCCCAGGTGCTCATCAGATCCTAGGTGAAAACTCAGGCTTCAGGTGCACATCAGACTCCAAGTGGACACATAGGACCCAGGTTGATAACAAGATTTCAGGTAGACTCTGGGTCCCAGAAGAACACCCTGCCCTAGGTGGACAGCTGAACCTGAGTAGACATCAGGCCCCAGATCGACATCTGGCCCCAGGTAGATTCCTAGGCCCAAGGTGAATACTCAGTCTCCAGCCCTAGGGGAATTCAGTCTTAGTTGATTAAGGACTGGTGTTCCTCTGGGGCCTCATGTCTACCTGGGCCCTGGGAGTGCATATGGAGCCAGATGTCTATAAAGGGCCTGAGTGTCCACTAGGGCCTGAGGTTCACCAGGAGCATAGACATCCACCTAGGACCTCGTGTCCACCTAAAACCTGGTGTTCACCTGGGACCTGGGTGACAACCTGGGATCTGATGTTCACCTGAGGCCCAGAGTTCAGCTGGTGCCTATGTCAGCCTGGCACCTGATGCACACAAGAGGACTAGGTGCCCACCTGAGGACTGGTGTTCATGGGGAATTGGTGTTCAGCAGTGGCTTGATGACCAACTGGGTCCTGGTGTCCTCCTGGCACCTGATGTCCACCTGGGACTGCATGCTTACCTAGGGCCTGGTGTTCCCCTGGGGCCTGGTGTGCCCCTGAGACCTGGGGTCCACCTGGGCCTAGTATCCACTTGGGGCCTCATATCCATCTGGAACATCATGTCCACCTGGGGCCTTGTAGTTACCTAGGGACTGGGTGTCCTTCTGGCACTTGAGTGTCCTCCTGGGGCCTGGGGTTCTCCTGGGGCCTGGGTGTACATCTCTGGCCTGATGTCCACCTTGGGATGGATGTCCCCCTGGGGACAGATGTTCACTTGTGGCCTGAGTGTCCATTTCGTGTCTAATGTCTACCTGGGGCCTGAGGCCTTATATCCACCTGGGGCCTGGGCATCCATTTGAGGCCTGATGTCTACCTAAGACCCAGTGTTTAATTGGGGCACAGACTTCTTCCTGGAGCCCAACATTCATCTAGAGCCTGAAGTTCACCTATGCCTGTTGTCTACCTGAGGCCTATGTGTCAACCTAGGGCCTGATGACCACCCTGAGTTCAGTGTTCACCTGGGGCCTGACATCTTCCTGGAGTCTGGATGTCCACATAGGGCCTGATGTTGGCTTGGGACCAAAGTATTTACCTAGGGCCTGGGTGTCTACTTACAGCCTGACTTCTACATGGTTCATTGTGTCAACCTGGGACCTGATGTCCACATAGGGCCTAGGTAAGCTCCTTATGACTAAAGTCCACATGGGGGCTGAAACCATCTCAGACCTTGTGTTAACCTAGGGCTTAGTGTCCACCTGAGGCCTGCCTGGGACCTGGTGACCCCCTGGGGTCAAGGTATCCATCCACCTTGGGCCTGATGACCAATTGGGACTTAAGGATCTACCTAGAGACTGGTGTCAACCTGGAACCTGATGTCCACTTGGGGTCTGGTGTACACCTTGGGCCTGATGCCCACCTGGGCACGGGTGTACACTTTGGGCCTAGTGTGCACCTGAAGCCTGGGGGTCAACCTGGGTCTTGATGCGCACCTTTAGTCAAGTGTTTAACTGGGGCCTGATGAAATACTGGAGCCTGATTTACAGCTGTGTACTGGGTCTCCTCCACCTGGGGCCTGATGTCCACCTGCAGCCAGATATCCACCTGGCATCAGATGTCTACGAGGAATCTGGGTGTCCACCTTGAAAATGATGTATTCCAAGAGACTAGGCATGCACATTGGGCCTGGGGTCCACCTGGGTCCTGATGTCTACCTGAGGCTGGTATTGAACTGGGGCCTGTGTGTTCACTTGGAGCCTGATGTCCATTTGGAAACTGGTGTTCACCTAGGACATGGGTATCCACCTGGATCCTGATTTTCAGGTGGGGAGTGGCTATAGACATGGGAACTGATGGCCACCTATGCTATAAGTAACCCAACCACCTGGGGCCTGGTGTTCACCTGCGGCCTGATATCCACCTGGTACCTGTGTGTCAATCTAGTGCCTGGTGTCCACTTGAGGACTAGGCAGACACCTGGGGCCTGGTGTTCATCTTGCACCCAGTGTCCACCTGGACCCTGTGTATCAACCTGTGGCCTAGGTGGCCACTTGGAGCTTTATGTGCACCTGGGGCCTGAGAGTTTCCTAGGATCCGATGACCACTGGGGCCCAGGTATCCACCTGGGACATCAGGCTCCAAGTGTACACCCAGGCTCCACATGGACACCAGGCCAGGAGAACGCCAGCCCTTATCTGAACATCAGGTCCTAGATGGATGCCCAGGCCCCATATGTACATCAGGCCCCGGGTATACACTGGACTCCAGGTGGACACCAGCACTCAATTGGATACACACACTCAAGGTGGACACCAGGCCCCACGTGAATTCCTACACTCCAGGTAAACATCAGGTCCCAAGTGGATACCTGGACCCCAGGTGGATACCAGTCTCTAAATTAATACCAGGCCTCAGATGGTCCTTAGGAGCCATGTGTGCATTAGTCATCAGGAAGTTACCTAGGCCCAAAGTGGACATCAGGCCCCATGTTGACACAAGATCTAGTTGGAAGTCAGGCCCCAGGTGGACACCCAGGCCCTAGGTAAATACTTAGGTCCCAAGCTGACAGCAGGCCCTATGTGAACACTGCATCAGGTGGACATCTGAGTTCATCTGGAACCTCGTGTTACAGGCCCCATGTAAACACCAGGCCTTAGGTGGATACCCAATCTCTAGGTGGACATCAGAGCTCAGATTGACACAAAGACCCCAGTAGACATAATGTACCAATGAATATCCAGGCCCCTGGTTAATACCCAGGCCCCAGATTGACACCAGGGTCTATGTGGACACACAGGCCCCAGTTAGAAAACAGGCCCAAGGTGGACACTGGACTGGACATCAGGTCCTAGGTTGACAACCATGCTTCAAGTTGACACCAGACCCCAAGTGAACATCTGGCCCCAGCTGGACACTAGTCCCCTGATGAATACCTAGGCTCAAGGTTGACATCAGGCCCCATGTGAACACTAGACCCCAGATAAACACTTATGCCCTAAGTGGACATCAAGCCTCAGGTGGTTACCCGGTCCCAAGGTGAACATCAGGACCCTGATGAGCACCAGTTATCAAGTGGATTCTTAGGCCCCAGGTGAATATCAAGCCCTAGGTGGATACCAGGCCCCAGGTGGATACCAGGATCCTGGTAGACATCAGGTCCCAAGAGGACACTAGAACCCAGGAGTACATTAAGCCACATTAGCATGAAGGCCCCAGACGAATACCAGGCCAACTTGTGGACATCAGGCCTGAGAAGGGTCCTCAGGCTCCAGGTGGATATCAGGCGCCAGGTGAACATCCAGCACTCAGATGAACATTAAGCTTCAGGTGGACATTGTGCCTCAGGTGAACTCCAGGCCCCAGCTGAACATCAGGCCCCAGGTGGATGCCCAGGATCCGGGTGCACATCTGGCCACAGTTGGACATTCAACCCCAGGTGACCATCAGGCCATGGGTGAATACAGGGTTTCCAGGTGGACATCAGATCAAAGGTGAACATCAGTCCCCCAGTGGGCACCAGGACCAAGGTGGACACTGAACTAGAGGTTTACATCAGGCCACATGATGACACCTAGTCCCAGGTGGACATCAGGCCCCAGGTGGATACCTAGGCTCCCAGTGAATTTCAGACACCAGGTTGACATTCAGGCCCCCAGTGGTCATCTGGCCTCATGCAAACACTCAGACTCCAGGTGCAATTGATGTCTCAACTGGACACCAAACCCTTAGTTTGATACCCAAGGCCCAGGTGGACACCAGGTCCAAGGCTGACACTCAAGCCCTAAGTGAATACCAAACACTAGGTGAGTAATTCAACCCAGGTGGTCATTAGGACCCAGCTGGATACCAGTCCCCAGGTTAACACAAGGCCCCCAGTGGGCACCTAGGCACCAGCTGGACATCAGGCCCTATGTAAACACCCGGGTCTCAGGTGAACACCATGCCCCAGGTGGACATCAGGCACTAGGTGGACACAGGGCCACAGGTGGACATCTAGCCCCTGGGCGACATCCAGCCCCAGGTGGACATAAACGTTTCCATGGATAAACCATTCCCAGGTGGATATCAGGCCTCAAGAGGATGGCAGTCACCAGGTAGACATCCGGCCTCAGATAGACACCAAGGTCCCAGATGTACAGCAGGCCCCAACCGAACCCCAGACTCATGTGGACATCAGGCCACAGGTAGACACCAAGCCTTAGGTAGATAAATAACTTCAGGTAGACATCAGACCCAAGGTGGACACCCAGTCCCCAGGTGGACAATCAGGCCCCAGGCACACATCAGGCCTTAAGTGGACACCCAGGCCCCAGGTTGATACCCAGCTCCCAGGTGATCACCAAGCCCCAGGTAGACACCAGCCCATAGGTGAGCAACAGAATGCAGTAGGTCATCAGGCCACAGCTGGATACCAGTCCCTGGTGAACATAAGGTCCCAGTGGGACATAGACCTAAGGCAGACATCAGGCCCCAGGTGGACATACAGGCCTGAGGTGGAATTCACCCTGAGGGGGACATCGGGCCCCAGGTGCACATCAGGCCTCAGGTGAGTAACCAGTCCCCAGGTGGACATTAGCCCGCAGGTCAACCACAGTCCCCAGGTGGCTACCCAATCTGCAGGGTAACATTAGGCCCCTGTAGGATCACAGGCTGCAAGTGGATTCCTAGGTCTCTGGTGAACATCAGGTGCAGGTGTCCAAGCAGGCCCTGGGTGGACATAACTGTGTACAGGTAAGGAGTTGACCTGTGGGGAGGGTGAGCAGTCAGCAGCCCACTGGGGTCCTGAGAAGGTTTTCTGGAAGGAGGAGGCCGAGGGGATGGAAACTTAAAGAAGCGACCTCACTTCCTTGGCAACAGACCCTAACAGAACTTAGAATTCTGGTAACCAGGCCAGGCACGGTGGCTCACACCTGTAATCCCAGCACTTTGGGAGGCCAAGGCAGGAGGATCATGAAATCAGGAGATCGAGACCAGCTTGACCAACATGGTAAAACCACATGTCTACTAAAAATACAAAAAACAAACAAGGTCAGGAAATCGAGACCATCCTGGCTAACACAGTGAAACCCCATCTCTACTAAAAATACAAAAATTACCCGGACGTAGTGCTGGGCGCCAGTAGTCCCAGCTACTCGGGAGGCTGAGGCAGGAGAGTGGCACGAACCCGGGACGCGGAGCTTGCAGTGAGCCAAGATCGCGCCACTGCACTCCATCCAGCCTGGGCGACAGAGCGAAACTCTGTCTCAAAACAAACAAACAAACAAACAAACAAACAAACAAACAAAAAACAAACAAACACAAAAAACTAGCCAGGTGTGGTGGTGCGTGTCTCATGCCTGTAATCCCAGCTACTCAGGAGACTGAGGCAGGAGAATTGATTGAACCCAGTAGGCACATGTTGCAGTGAGCCGAGATCATGCCACTGCACTCCAGCCTGGCCAACAGAATGAGACTATGTCTCAAAAAAAAAAAGAATCCCGATAACCGGGCACCCACATCCTAGCATTAGCCCCATAGCCAGCTCACTTGGTGGGAGACGCTCAAGAGAGCAAGATGTTCTTGTGCTGCATCCCCACATCTCAAGGCTCCTGCTTCAGGAATGGCAGGAGTGAGAGCCTTTCTTTGCTGATGATGCCCTTGTAGGCTCATCCCTCACCCCAGATGCCTCTGGCCATTTGGCAGAAGCCCCCCCCAGGTACCACAGGACAGGAGTCACCAGGTAGACATCAGGCCCCAGATGGAGCTACCAGGCCAGGCCTCACCAGTGATCCCACCAGGGCCACATCTGCACATTGTCCTTGTCCAGCTGGAGCCTCTGGAGCTCATTGAGACACAGGCACATGCTGAGGTCACCTGCAGTCTGGAAGTCTTTCCAGGGACAATGTTTTCAGGCTGAAATTCCTTTAAATTCAATGAGGTTGTTTTCATGTTTGGAAATTCCAGTGGAAAGTGAGTGGTATTGGTGACCTCTCTCCTTTTTCAGCTCCTGCTTCAGGTGCAGAAATACAGCGATTTCCAGTGCCAGCTGTTGAGCCAGTGCCAGCACCAGGGGCAGATTCCCCTCCAGGGACAGCGCTGGAGCTAGAGGAAGCTCCAGAGCCCTCCTGCCGCTGCCCTGGGACTGCCCAGGACCAGCCCAGTGAGGAGCTGCCTGACTTCATGGCACCTCCTGTAGAGCCACCGGCCTCAGCCCTGGAGCTGAAAGTGTGGCTGGAGCTAGAGGTGGCAGAGAGGGGTGGCCAGCACAGCTCCAGCCAGCAGCTCCCACACTGCTCCCAGTCCTGGGCACAGTGGAAGCTATGGAGGCAGAGACCAGGGTTTGCAATCTGGGCTCCTCTGCCTCACTGGAGAGGGACTTCTCCCATTCAGCAGAGCAGCAGCCCTGCTGCTGAAGGGCCTGCTGCTACTGCTGCTGGGGGTGTTTGCCTGCCTGCAGGAGGTGCTGGAGAGCAAGAAAAGGAGCCTGTGAGCAGGGGTTCCAGCAGGTCCTCCTGCTCCCAGAGGCGACCTCCTCCTCCAGGCATGGAGGTTTGCCCTCAGCTGGGCATCTGGGCCATTTGCCCCTAATGTGCTGCCCAGGATGGCCTCTTCTTGACAGGCGGACAGGGGGTGAGGGGGCCAGGGGCATCTCCAAAGGAAGCTTTTAAACTCAGCAGCTGCACCCCAGAATCTGTATGCCTGCACCTGCCCAAGGATTTATTCATAGCTTACCTAAGAATTTCAAATTTCTACCATAACACTGAAATAAAGTTTGACTTTTTGAAACTTCCATGACTTCTTTCACTCCCTAATATTGTAGATGGTGTTTTTGAGGCGATGTTGAAAACCTCTGATAGTTGTATGTTTTGTTGTGGTTCTTTCTGTGATTAAATTACCATCTGATCAAGTGATATTGAAAACCCTTCAGGTATGGCTTTTAGAAGACTTTGACCTATTTTTGCTTGTGTTGACTCTCCCTTCAGCCTTGTGGAAAGAGGGATCATGTAGGTTCATTTCTCAGGCAGATCAGTCACCTTTTGCCATCAAAGTTTTAGCATCCATTTCCAAAATTTGGTGTACAAGTTGATATTTTGGTGTTTTCAGCTAATCTGGGGTCAAAACAGAATGCCATAGATGAGGAAGCTTATAAACAAATTTGTTTCTCTCAGTTCTGGAGATAGCAAAATTCAAGGTCAAGTGGTTAGAAGATTCCAGGTCTGGTTTGGGCTTGCTTTGTGGTTCATAGACAGCCATGTTTCTACCATGTCCTCACATGACAGAAGGGATGAGGGAGCTCTCTATGGTGCCTTCAATAGGGGATACTAATCCCACTCATGTGGTCCCTGCCTTCATGATCTAATCATTCCCCAAGGCCCTATCTCCAAATATCATCACATAGGGAATTAGATTTCAACACTGGAATTTGAGGGGGACAATAACATTTGGTCTATAGCATCAGAGCCTTATGCACTCAGAGGAAATCCAAAATCACCTATAAGTATTTGCTGGTCCCCTCTGGGCTTAGGGAAATCTCTAATTGCAGCTCTTGATTCAGCTTGGTCCAAGCTTAAATTCTACATTTGCCTGCATAACTTGTTCATGGGACAGAGGGAAGTTTAGAGGCAACTGACCATTTGGAGTTTTAGGACAATTGATGGAAGAGGGCTTGGCATCTGGATGAGAAGTGGAGGGAGTATAGAACAAAGGCACAGAAGGAGAGAGCACAATGAGAAAAGGAAAGAGGGACATCTGGACATAAGGGCCAACTGGAGGGCAGGGAAGGTAATTTTCCTTACATTTTAAACTCAGACCACATATCACATCAGAATCACGTGAGGGAGACATTTTCAATGCATATTCCTGAGTTTCTTCTCTTGAAAATTTTTATTTCTTAAATCTTGAGTTGTGCTGATTTATCCATATTTATCATAAGAATTTTGGATAATTCTTACTTTGGGAGGCCCAGGCAGGTGGATCACTTGAGGTCAGGAATTCAAAACCAGCCTGGCCAACATGGTGAAACTTCATCTCTACTAAAAATACAAAAATTAGCCAGGCATGGTGGTGCACGCCTGTAGTCCCAGCTACTTGGGAGGCTGAGACCGGAGAATCACTTGAGTCAGGGAGGCAGAGATGACAGTGAGCTGAGATCATGCCACTGCACTCCAGCCTGGGCAACAGTGAGACTCCATCTCAAAAAAAAAAAATTGTGGGTAATTCTGATGCAGTTAGAAAACAAAGCAGAGCTTGACAACCACTGGGTTGGGACATATATCAAGAAGACATTTGATTATGTAAAATAACTGCAAAACAGACTGAAGGGGAATTATTTTAAAATGCTTGAATATAATTATATAATTCAACTCTTCCTATGTACGTAGTTTGACCACATATTTGATGTCTGCTGTACTAAGATTGGAAATGCGTAGTTTTTCTAAAAATCAGGTAGAAGCACAGAAAAAAGAAGTTGGAGAGAAAAGAAAACTAGCTGTTGTCTGGTAACAAGAGAAGAGAAGGGAAACGAAGTAGCATATTTTTGTTCATTGTTTGATGGCATCTAAATTATGATCCCAAATATTTTTTTCTAAGAAATCCAATAATACAAGTATTCGGAGTAGAGTACCAACACTGATTTACTGGGAAAGAGAAGTGTATTCTGTTTTGCTGCATAATGTTGAGGGAGAAGGAAAGGAAAATTAGTTGAGTAAACAAGAAAGAGACTGGTCCTCAGGGAAGCTGTCTGCCTGAAAAATCACAACTACTGCACCTACAGATAAGCCCTGCACAGATGAACATGCAGGGTCCAGCACAGACGCCTTCTGTTCTTTGTGTAATTGGCAAGCTCCCAGGAAAAATTTTCCTCCCTTTTTCAGGCATATACACGGTGGCCTCTGTGGGAACTTACACAGGGAGGAGGGGGGCTCACCTAAAACAAACCCACAGTTATACAACAAGAGAAGCCCACTTTGTGCTTGACTAGAGACATACCCACAGCTGGATATATAAAGGGAATTGTGCAGACAGTTTTATACATAGCTGAGAGGAGTTTCTTATAAAAGCTTTTTGATTCAACTGTAAAAACGGCAATCCACTTGGACGCCCTTGTCTGCTGCAGAGAGCTTCCTCCTTTTGCTTATTAAACTTTCACTCCAACCTCACCCGTGTGTCCCGGTTCCTTAATCATCTTGGTGGTGAGATAAAGAACTCCAGGTGATACCTCACAAGAGAGACTGCTACATTGTGGTGCCTTGGCGAGACTGCAACTTTAAGAAGTGTGACTTTTATTGCTGCTGAATTATTTTATCTCCTACCCAATTGAAAATAAAGGATATAAAGTGCTTAGGTTGAACACAAAGTCCTCTGCTCTAGGTAACATCTTCAGCGCCACATTAGTAGAGGGATGGGTGGTAATGGTGGAGTAGATGTCTCTTTGCTTCTGACAGGGTGTCTGCTTATGTGTTAAACAAAATAGTATGCTATATATTTCATTAAGAAATCTGCTAAAAAATGAAGTAAAACAGGTTCATGTTCTTAAGAGGCACAGTATTTGCTACGGCAGCAAGACCAAAAGGCTGAAGTAGCAAAAATGTGCATAGTAGTTACAAACATTTTCATATAAACAAAACAATGTGAGCATCTGTATATGACAATAACTCATGCAAAAAATATTTTTTAACTGAAATTGAAATCATACATAACAAATGTTATCACTGTATTCTGAGGTAATATATTGTTTGTATATAGATGTTATAAATAATAACTTGTTTAAGTTACTCATCATTTATACAACAAATAATTCTTTGGAATCTACAAAATGCTGGTTTTGTTCTAGGCACTGAATGTACAAATTGATTTAAAATATGTGTTCTTAGATTGTGGTAGATTAAAAAATACAAAATAGGCTGGGCATAGTGGCTCAGGCCTATAATCCCAGCACTTTGGGAGGCCGAGGCAGGTGGATCACCTGAGGTCAGGAGTTCGAGACCAGCCTCACCAACATGGTGAAACCCCATCTCTACGAAAAATACAAAATTAGCCGAGGGTGGTGGCACATGCCTGTAGTCCCAGCTACTCGGGAGGCAGAAGCAGGACAATCGCTTGAATCCGGGAGGTGGAGGTGGCAGTGAGCCGAGATTGAACCATTGCACTCCAGCCTAGGCAACAAGAGCAAAACTCTGTCTAATATCTATACATACATTTTGTATATATACATATATGCATATGTGTATATATACATAATATATTTATACATATACATATATGGTATATGTATATTATATATGCATATACATATATTATACATATACATATACATATATATGTATATGTACATATATATCTGTCTAATATATATACACATATACATATATATGTATATGTGTATATATACATATACATATATATGTATAAGAATATATGTATATATGTATATATGTGTATATATACATACACATATATGTATACATACATATACACATATATGTATACATATATGTGTATATGTGTATATATACGTATACATATATACATATACATATATGTGTATATGTGTATATATACATATATACATATACATATATGTGTATATGTATATATGTAGATATACATATATACACATATATGTGTATGTGTGTATGTATACATATACATATATATGTGTATGCGTGTATGTATACATATACACATATATGTGTATGCGTGTATGTATGCATATACACATATGTGTATGCGTGTATGTATACATACACACATATGTGTATGTGTGTATGTATACATATACATATATGTGTATGTGTGTATGTATACATATACATATGTGTGTATGTGTGAATGTATACATATACATATGTGTGTGTATGTATACATATACACATATGTGTGTATGTATACATATACATATATGTGTGTGTATGTATACATATACATATATGTGTGTATACGTATGCATATATGTGTGTGTATACATATACATATATGTGTGTGTATACATATACATATATGTGTGTATGTATACATATACATATGTGTGTGTATGTATACATATACATATGTGTGTATGTGTATATACACATATACATATACACATATATTAGAGGTTGTACTGCTGAAAACGAGCTATTAATAAAAAAATTTCAGGAAACGTAGTGTGATTATTTTTAATAGAAGTGGATATTTTAATACAGGTCTCTTGTTTTTTCTTGTGGAAATAAATGACAAGATGGAATTTCTGGGTGTTTGGTATCTGAATATTTAAGTATAGCAGGTATGGTCAGTTTTTCAAAGGCATTTTACCATCTTACTTTTCCATCGGCAACTCATAAGATATTATGTGGAACAACGTCCTCTCCAACAACCTCCAGTATCAGTCTTTGTAAAGTTTGTCAATTAAATGGGTGTTTTTTTGTATTTGTTTTTGTTTTTGTTTTTGTTTTTTGAGACAGTCTCACCCTGTCACCCAGACTGTAGTGCTGTGGTGTGATCTTGGCTCACTGCAGTCTCTGCCTTCCAGATTCAAGTGATTCTCCTGCCTTGGCCTCTCAAGTATCTGGGACTACAGGTGCCCCCCACCACACCCAGCTAATTTTTGTATTTATAGTAAAGACAGGGTTTCACCATGTTGGCCAGGCTGTTCTCAATCCTGACCTCAGATGGTCCACCTGTCTCAGCCTCCCAAAGTGCTGGGATTACAGTCATGAGCCACCGCACTTGGCTGGGTTTTCTTTTTCTTTCTTTTATATATTTATATATATATATATATATATATATATATATATATATATATACACACACACACACACACACAAGTATATACATATATATATGTATACACACACACAGACACAAGTATATATATATATATATACTTAAGTTATGGGATAAATGTACAGAACGTGCAGGTTTGTTACATAGATATACATGTGTCATGGTTTGCTGCAAAATGTGCAAAATGGGTGTAGGTTTTGCAGGTAATTATTGTATTATTAAAAGATAACAGAATACCTAGCTAAAAAAAAATGCGAGGAGGCATTGATGGGCACATGTTTACTGAGCACATCCTGACTCCAGAATTAGAAGTCCAATTTATGCCTCTGCAGTCCAATAAAATTTTTCCTTAAGAATCCAGAGATCAGACTTTCATTTCAGCAAACACTCCAGTATGGTTTCTCACCTACTCACTCCAACGAAGCTGCTCGTATCAAAACATAAGTGCTATGCATATTGTTAAATTATAAATTGAACCATAACTCCTCGGACTTCGTCTTAATTTATATATCAGCAGCATTTCACACAGTTGATCTCCTCCTCCTCTTTGTAAAACTTTTTTTATAGAATTCCAGAACACTTAACCTACTTTCCCTCCACCATGTTTTTGATAATTACCTCTAGTCCTTTTTTGCAGGTTTCATCTTTACTATTTTTTAAATGTCAGAGGACGATTAGGCTCACGACTTTGACTGCTTATCTTTCTTATCTTTGCTTTCTTACTGATTTTTGTGTCATTAATTTCCTGATATTTCACATTACACTTAAATACTGGACACTACACCCAGCACTCCCTGACTTATCCACATGGATGTCAGTTAGGAATCTCAAAATTAATATGTCTATATGGAGCCACTGAAACTCCCCAAATTTGCTCTTCCCCATTCTGTTTAATGGCAACTCCCATTTTATAGTTTCTCAGCTCAATATTCTTGGTGTCCCCTTTTAATTCTGTCTCTGTAGCTCTGTCACTCTCTTTCTGTATCTGTCTGATTCTCTCCCTCTCTCTCCTCTCTCTCTTGCTCACTGTCACTCTTGCTCTCTCTCCCTGCTTCACACACACACAAACACACACAGACAGACACGCACACACACACACATTTTCAGATCTGATGTGTATGGAATTCCTGCCAGCTTTACCTTTAAAGTATAATAATTCCAAATGTTGTTTCCAAATTCACATTCCCACCCCCACCACTTGGTAACTATAGCGCTTCTCTCACAAGGCCAAGTGCAGAGATTTCTTGGGGAAATAATGAGAACTATTATACATTCTTATTTCAAGGACCCTTAAAATTATAGGATTACTTTATTTGATACTAATTTAAGCTTCTGTCATTGCCCTTTTTTCAATCCAGTCTCCACACAGCTACCACAGTGTGCAAGTAGAAGTCTCAGCCATATCACCACACTCCTGCTTTAATGTCCCTACTCCATTGCTTCTTTTCTTCTTCAGAAGAGTTTAAGCTTAATGAAGCTGGGCAACGTTACATATTTTTCCATGAGCTGGAGATCACTTGGTGTAAGGTAAATGATCAGTAAATATTTTCAAATAACAGAATCCAGGAATAATAGTTTTGTTTCTTTGAGAGTACATTTACTTTTAAAAATCAAGGAAATAGATTGGTCAAGAGAATTCTGCTTGCTTTGATTTTGTTATCGATTACATTAGATTAGATTAACTGTGTTAGTATAAGTGTCAGTGTGGAAAGCTATAAGCATTTCCTAAACTTTAAAATGAAAAGCGTGGAATTTAAGTATCTGCTCCTTTTATTTGAGCAACCAAAAAACACAACTTTTAAAATATATTTTAATTATGTATGAAATCTAAATTTATTTTTCTCTCTTTATCCCTGAATACTTTTTAAAGTTATTCATGTCCTCATTATTTTTTAATCCACTTTAATAACATTTTAAAATATATTTTCAACTTCATTAAGAATATCTTTGTGTTCCACTGAATAGCTTGCCAAATAATAAAACATTAGCAGTATAATTTCCTCATAAACATTATTTAATTTGTTTGGTTAACCATAGATTTCCTACTCTCAACTCATAATTTCATTCAAGTATAATATATTCTACTTGACCTTTGCGGGGTTTTCATACCATGTATTTGTCATTGAAATTGGTTTTTGATATTTGAACCACTAGTTTATAATTGTATTGTTGGTTAGACTGGTCTGTAGAATCTTTCTTTGTTTTGATTCCGTGGTTTATTCATTACGGAGTAGCTGTGCTACTGTAAATTTTGAGGTCAAAAGCTTAAAACATTTTATGTGTTTTAAAACAAAGTGGATGGCATTTAAATATCTATTCCTTAAAATTTGGAAGAAAGGTTAACACCATATAAACCCAGAGCCTGTATTTTTAGATTAGTAGCATGCAGACATTTTCAATTTCTTCTAAAGTTGAAAAAAATAAATATTTTGTATTCATAGAATGCTTGATAACAGGAGGTAAATATTTAATTTTCACTTAAAAGAAATTTGGTTACACTGAAAGGAAATTTGGCTAATATAAGTTAGATACATTTCTAATTAAAACAATAATTTAAGATAAATAATGCTCAAAGAACAGTGGTCACTGCATTTATTCCAGAGAGAGGACATTTATCCTGATCTGGCTGTAATAACGTAGTAGGTAGAACTGCTGGCGTGGACACCCAAGCACGGACGGGAAGCTGGTGTCTCAAGGGGTCCCGCTGAGATAGAAAGGGGTCAGGGCCCAGACTGTTGATGTCGCCTGGACCCAACCACCATGTCTCAGAAGAAGAAATGACCCTCCCCTCCTGGTGCTGCCCCAAACAAGGAGCTTAGCAGTGTTGCACACAGGATAGTCCTTGCAGGAGACATGTTTGACAAGCTGCTGAGGTGCCTGATGGGGCCAGGCTCTTGTCATGAAATGAGTTTGCATCCTGAGGAAACCTTTTCATTGGAAACCTGGCAGGGATCCAATTTCCCTTTGCCTTAACCCCGTAGGAGCACAGTAGACAGGGAGGAGGTCACCCAGGTGGCTGTTCCTGCTTGGCCCCCACTTCCCAGACCATTCCAGGCACGGAGAGCCGCTGAGCTCACTCCATGGGCTGCCCACGTGGGGTCTGGACCCAGCCGCCCTCCTGTGCCTGGCAGGCAGCCCCTGCGCCATCACAGGACCCATTGTGTGGTGATCAGTGGCCCATCGCCTGCCCTCGTGGTGGGTGCAGTTCACAGGTGCTGCCCCAGGCCTGGCACAGTGGCCTTCTCAGCCTGTCCCAGGATAGGGGACATGAATGATCCTTGCCTGTGCCCCTTCGGACTACGTGAGTTTGGACACTCACTGCAGAAGTCCCTCCAGGTCCCTTTTCAACTGAGTTGTGGGGGACTTGCTTAGTCCTCACGCCCAGGGTCAGGGGAGGGGTGCAGAGTCTGCACCCTAAATCCGCTAGGGCCAGAGGGAGGTCTCCCAGGTGACCTCTGTCCTCTCCAGTGACATGAGTCCTCCCAGATGGCCTCAGCCCTCTCAGGTGACATGCTTCCATGGTGACTCTGGCCCTTGCAGGAGGTGGGCTAGCACAGGGACATGAGCTGCCTAACTGCCATCCTCCTCCTGTATCTGCCAGAGGAAGACACCTTCTGGGCACTGGATCAGCTGATGGCTGAGGAGAGGCACTCCCTGCAGGGTAGGCGGACAGCTACCCCCAGACCTCACACAGCCAGGCCATGGGATGGCCACCCTGGCTGGGCGATCCTGACTTCCAGGCAAGGCAGCTTCCTTGCTTTCCAGCTTGTCAGGAGCCTTCAGGACATCCCTGCTGAGGGTCCCACAGGAGCCCAGAGCTGAACAGGGACCCTTTCACTTCAAGGCAGGCACCTTTCATCCCCAACAGCAGAGGGCACTGCAGCCTCCCCCTCGCCACCCGGTGTGTCCCAGAGCCACAGCTCTCTAGCCCTGAGTTCATGCAGGTGACTGTCACTTCCGCAAGAGTCCTCCTACCTCCCAGCTGGCCACACTCCCAGCTGCCGTCCCAGCCCACAGATGGGCCAATGCAGTCGAGATGGCAGTGTCTGCCCAACCCATGTCCCCCAGCCCGACCCCATGTCTGGGAGAGGCCATGTAGCCCCTTGGCACCCACCCGGTTCCCTCCACTGGCCACTGCCTGCGTCAGCCCTGCCTCACAGCCTCAAAGGCAGGCCTGCCCTCCTGGCACCTCTACCCAGGATGCTGCTGTGCAGTGCCTCCGGCTAGGGCCCACCTCCGTAGAGCTGAGGCCACGTGTTAGGGTCACCTGATGGAAGGGAGGAAGGCCTCAGGGTCCGGGGTCCCCTGCCACTTCCCAGCTCTTCCAGCTGAGGGCTCCACATCTTGGGAGTGGGCTCTGATGCCTGATGGGTCAGGGGCTTCTCAGTTTTCTACAGCCCAAATACTGCCCAGCTCCAGAGGCTCCCATCCCACCAGGAGCAGGTATAACACAAATCCTTCCCAAAGATCATGCGGTACCTGCTGAGTGGATGACACCCTCAACTCTTTCCCAGAGGCCCGGGGTCCCATGGGGCAGGGAAACAGGGAAAGATGGAGCTCCTCGAGGGTCTGACAAGAGACTGAGTCCCAGCCAGGGCCTCGCCCAAGGTGAGGATTCTCCATGGGTTTGGGGTTGGGTTTTCTTTTCCTGCCCTGGAGGAGGAGGCAGAGGTACTAGGATGGGGGCTGAGCTCCAGCTGAGCAGGGTTAAAGGAAGTATGTCCACCAGGCATCTGTGCATGGGGGAGTTGTTGGGGAAGCACTGGCCACTGCCCAGTGTTCTGCCCCAGGGCAGCTCAGGGGGCCGTGAGCACCTATGGTCCAGGAAGGGCCGTGCATTGAGGTTTGTTGAGTTGGTTCCTCTGGTGTTTCATTGATGGGGTAAGGAGGCAAATGGAGACCCCAGGCCAGGGACCCTTCTGTCCCACAGTGCCCAGCTCCCCCAGGAGGGCCTGGCTCACCCCAAGCCCACAGGAAGCACAGGGAAGTTTCTGCATGGCACAGAAGCCAGGCTCTCCCCAAGAGGGGGCATCACACAGCAGGGGCCAGGCCTCAGGCCCAGTGCTATTTTCACATTATTCATTTTATAAGATGATATGGTTTGGCTGTGTTGCCACCCAAATGTCGTCATCTTGAACTGTAATTTCCATAAGCCTCACGTGTCATGGGAGGGACCCAGTGAGAGGTAACTGAATCATGGCGGCAGTTTCGCCCATGCTGTTCTCATGATAGTAAGTGAGTTCTCATGTGATCTGACGGTTTTATAAGCATCTAGCATTTCCCTTGCTTGAGGTGATGAATGCCCCATTTACCCTGATGTGATTATTACACATTGCATGCCTGTGTCAAACTATCTCATGTACCCCATAAATATATACACCTACTATGTACTCATAGAAATTAAAAATAAAAATAAATTTAAAATAAAAAGTGTGAGCTTTTAAAGGTGAGGTTTACCCTCCAACCCTGGTCCCTGCCAGGTGTGACCTTCACGTCATCTTTCCACATGGTCCAGGCCCCCATCTGCAGAGGCCAACAGTTCCCAGAGTGACCTTCCTCAGAAAACAGGGTCTTGGAGGAGACAGTTAGAGGAGGGGGCCTCATCCTCCCCACTGCACAGCCCCTCATGGGGATTGGAAAGTGAGGGTCTCTGCCCACAAGTTGGCAGTCACCCTAAGCTCTTTTGTGGGAGGAAGCATAGGGAATATAGGTCAGTGTTGGGGCAGCATTTTCTGATCCTGACTTGGAGAAGGTGTTAAAATCTTGACATTCCCGACTCCTCCTTTGTGAGAGCCCGTGCCCTGCAGGTCTCACAGGGTTGTTGTGAGGGTCACCTGTGGTGATGGGTTTGGAAGTGATTTGTGAATGACACAGTGGGCCTTCCTATTCCTGTCATTGGCCTTTCAACCTTCAATACTAATTGCCTGGGGATCTCCAGGCCTCAAGGTCTAATCCCGGAAGGGTATAAGGTGTCCCTAGTGGAGTATTCTACACCTCCTGGGAGGTCCCTCACTTCCACCTTCACCTGACATAACCCCTGCTCCTGTTCCCTCAGCCTGGAGAGCTTGCCCAGTAGAGCACAGGGTAGTACTGGACTGACCTCTTTGGAAAGGGTGATTACATCCTCATTTCAGCTCTCCCTCTTCCTAGCTTTCCACATAGAATTCCAGGGCTCCATGCAGCATTTGCTGGACATGAGAGGGAAAACTTTTAGGGCAGGGATCTGCCCTGGGTGGGGACAGAGGAGTATCGTGGAGTCTGGGTGTCAGGAGTGTGAGCCCTGCCCAGCTGGCCAGCCCCTGTCCCCATGCTGCTCGATGCATGATGTTTCCTGCACAAGCTTCCTTTTGAGGGAGGCTTCCAGAGTGACTGCAGTGAGGTCCATGCTGTTGGGGGTGACAGAGCAGCCCTGGAGGTGGCCAAAGAGAAGCAGGCAGAGGAAGCTCCTCCAAGCAGGCTTGGAAAGAAATTGCCGCATATCACTTACGTCACTCTTGCCACTAGAAGGACAATTTTTACAGTGGAGTGGAAGGAAACGAATATGCTGTGGGAGAGAAGGGATCCATCCAGAAGAGCAAGGCGGGAGGGGGAAATGTGCCCATTGCCAGAATTTCGTGTCTTTTGAAGACATTTGCCAGAATTCTACTTTTGAAGGCTGCCCCTTTTGATAGTCAGTTACTGAGGAACCTGTGGGACATTTTCAAAGCCTTTTATATTAAAAAAAAAAACACAACATACTGCTGTGGGTCTGTGTGCAGGGACCACGAAGAGCACAGCTGCCACTGTTCTGTGTCGCAGATGCTGTGGGAAGTGCCTTAACACACAGAGGTTTGCTTCATGCAACTGGGTGAGGAACATCTCTAAAACAGTTTACAGTCAAGAAACTTCAGTGTCAAGGAGGTTGAATGCGTTATCCAAGATCACACATATGTCCTGACAGATTCGGGGTTCAGTGAAGAATTATGTATCATGAATTATAGGGCTGTATTTTAATTTTGCATTTTAAATTTCTGCAGTTTTCTTCCATCACTTTTCACCATGCATCCTATACTTGGAATTACTTTTTTTGGCTTCTTGATCTTCTTTACTTGTATGTTATTGATTTTCTACAAGTTTTAACATATACTATTAAAGAGTATTTCTTAATGTTTTAATAATTACCCTAGAATAAAATATATTTACTTTGATAGATGTATGTATTGGATATTACAGTGTATTGTGTACATTTTCAAGCACATTGTGTTATACCAGAAGCATTATTCAACAGTGGTCTTTTTTTCTTTTTACCTGAACTATGTTCAGAAAATCTTTCCACCGCAGTACAAAAAGATCGATTTCATTTTGTTAACAGATGGATGTGCCATAGGGCAATTAACTGTTTAGTTGTCCTGTTATCCTGTTGTGGATATTTAAGTTCAAACAATGCAGTAATAAATATGCAAGAGTGCTTTCAGACATTAAAGAATATGGCTCTAAATTAGGGACCTAGTGCCTGTAATCCCAGCACTTTGGGAGGTCGAGGTGGGTGGATCACCTGAGGTCAGAAGTTTGAGACCAGCCTGGCCAACATGGCAAAACCCCGTTTCTACAAAAAATACAAAAATTAGCTGGGTATGGTGATGCGCACTTGTAGCCCCAGCCACTTGGGAGGCTGAGGTAGGACAATTGCCTGAACCCACAAGGCGGAGGCTGCAGTGAGCTGAGATGATGTCACTGCACTCCAGTCTGGGAGACAGAGTGAGACTCTGTCCCAATAATAAATAAATAAGTAAATAATCTAGAAGTACAATTGCTTAGCCAAATTGCTTATGCATTTTGAATGATGAGAGTTGCTGCCTAATTTCTGTTACAAAGGCTATGGTAATTTACACTCAAAACACAGAATTGGTTGGTTGGTGTTACAGACGGAGTCTTACTGTTGCCGAGACTGGAGTGCAGTGGTGTAATCCTAGCTCGTTGTAGTCTCCAACGCCTAGGCTCAAGCAATCCTCCCACCTCAGCCTCCCTCCCAAGTAACTAGGATTACAGGTGCATGCCACCACACCTGGCTAATTTTATTTTTAGATATGGGATCTTGCTCCGTTGCCCAGGTTGGTCTCGAAATCCTGGCCTCAAGGCGACCTCAGCCTCCAGTGTAGCTGACATTACAGGCATGAGACACTGTACCTGGCTGAATGAGTGCCTCTATCCTGACACTTGTGTCCCCACGGGATCCTGCAGAATTCAGGACCCCGTCCACACAGGGGAAAACTCTCTGTTGCGGTCCTGATGACTGAGGAGGGAGCTTACCCATGGCTCTCCTGGTCATTTTTATTTAATAGTGAGCGCAGAACCTCACATTTTCTGGAATGTTCCCATATGATTTTGTGAGAGAAAAGAGAATAGAGACCCAACCCCAAGCTCACTGTGTCAAAGGGAAAATTAAGCTTGGGAACTGAGTTACGCAATACTCCTTCCTTGTTCTCAAACACATAGCTATAACTTCACAACCCTGTGTCATAGCCTCATCCATAAGCCAGGTTCCCACAGTGACAGAAGGCTGCATGTCTCCTCACATGTCCTCCCTCACAATTTGCTGTGAGCCCCTAAATCTTTCAGAATGCACATCCCACCTATAAACTAGCCCTAAAAGTGAGTCGGCTCAATTTCACCCTGACAATCTCAATTACCAGGTTATTTTCATAGTTCTGGGACAAGGTCAGGACCAGAAATCATCCCTCTGCCTATCCTGAGATGAATGAATCATTGACTTTTCCTCTATTCCACTCCCTCTATTCACATGCTGACTTTATCTTATGTAAAATGAAGATTTACTGAATGCGAGATGAACACATAATTAACTGTTTCCTCTGCTCCCTCCTTTCCTATGTAAAATGTAGATATCCTGATGCTAATCAGAGCCACACAAGAATGCAAACATATGCTTCACTGCCTACCTTCAGTCTCACGGGAGTTCTCTGGATTTCTTGTATCAGCTGGTGGACCTCTCTAGCAAGATTGAGGACACTTTCCTGAATTATATCCTCAAAAATGTTTTCCAAGTTGCTTACATTCTCTTCTTCTCTGTTAGAAATGCCAATAAGTCAGCCAGGCACAGTGGCTCATGCCAGTAATCCCAGCACTTTGGGAGGCCAAGGTGGGAGTATCACTCGAGGCCAGAAGTTTGAGACCTACCTGGCCAGCATGGCGAAATCCCATCTCTACTAAAAATACAAAAATTAGCCAGACATGGTGGCACATGCCTGTAATCTCAGATACTTGGGAGGTTGAGGCACGAGAATTGCTTGAACCCAGGAGGTGGAGGTTTCAGTGAGCCAAGATCATGCCACTGCACTACAGACTGGGTAACAGAGTGAGATTCTGTCTCAAAAAAAAAAAAAAATGCCAATAAGTCATAGATTTTGTTCCTTTACATAATCCTATATTTCTCAAAAGTTTGGTTCATTATTTTTAAATTCTTTTTTTTATTTTTGTCTGACTGGGTTGATTCGAAGGTCTGGTCTTTGAGCTCTTAAATTATTTTTTCTATTTGGTCTAGTCTGTTGCTAAGGCTGCCAACTGTTTTTTGAAATTCCTATAGTAAATTTTTCAATTCAAGAAGCTCTGCTTTGTTCTTTCTCAATATAGCTATGTTGTCATTCAAATCCAGGATCGTTGTTATGGGGTTGTTGTTGGATTCAACTTTCTGTTGGATTTTGGTGAATTTTTTTGCCACTTATATCTTGAATACTATACCTGTCATTTCAGACATTTCATTCTGGTTAGGACTCATTGCTAGGTTGCTGGTGTAATCCTTTGGAGGTGATGGAACATTCTGGCTTTTTGTATTGCCAGAGTTCTTGTGCTGGTTTCTTCTCATCTGAGAGACTTGATGCTTCTTTTGTTGAATTTGATATCATTTGGAAGGAGGTTTTTTTTTTTTTAATTTTTCATTCTTTCTTTCTCTTAAGTGTGTGACTGTGGTGTGTGTTGTATAGGATCAATTTGCTTCATTTCTGGGTACTTTCAGAGGACCAAGGCTCTGTACAAGTTCCTTGGTTGCAGATAGGCTCCTATGGTGGCTTGATGTGGTGATGTATTTTTGTTTGGTGGTGTAATTCAGGCTTCAGTGCAGTAGACAGTGCTTAAGAGTAACAGCTGGCTGCAGGGTCTTCTCCTCTGTGTACTTGTCCTCGACAGGTTCAGAAGTGACAAAGTGCCAAAAGTGCCCTGTCCCCATGTGTACTAGTCTTCAGCAGGGGCAGAGTCCTGGAGAAACCTAAGAAGCAGCCTCTTTCAGCTCACGTTCCTTGGGCCCCAACAGGGTGACCACTACTGGGTCTGCAGCAGTGCACTAGGAAGGGGACAGAGGGCAAGAGATGACCACCTCTCTAAATCTGTTCCCAGGCTTTGGTGTGCCCCTTTCAGCAGCTGATGTCATGATCGTGTTTCCTTTGACCCAAGGGGTGGGTTTGGCAAGCTGTATTCCTCCTTCCCTTAGGGCTGGTCCTCACCAAAGTTTAGGTCTCCTGGGGAATGGGGTTCACCTCCCTCCTGTTTCTTGGAGCTGATGAGGTACTCTCTCAACTGACCAAGAGAGCAGGCTGGGACACCCAGCAATGACACACACAGACCAGTTCCAGGTTGCAAAGCTGTTCTTGGCTGCAAGTCTCACCATCCTTGAGAAACCTCTGCTTTAGCAACTCTCTTCCCACTACAGTCCTGCAAGAGGAGAGAGCCTAATTCCAACACCTACTGCTGGGGCACTTTCCACACTCAACACTCAATTCTGGCTGTGGAGGCTGCTCCCCTGCTCCAGAGCAAGCACTTCAATTCCTAGCCCAAGATTAAAGTGTCTGCAGTGGCCACCATTGCCAGGCACCAAAGAATGATTGACTTTGTATGAGCCCAGATTAAAAATGGCATCCTTCGCTCAGTCCCAGGTCTGGGGAAATGCCTGCAGCTTTTCTGAGTGTCTTTCCTCTTTCCCCATCTCTCAGCCACTTTTGTGCTAGCTCTAAGCACATAAGTGCTTTCTTGGGAGAAACAGTGCTCTCCCTTAATCTGGGTTGCACAGATCCCCAGTGGAAAGGTGAGTCGCAGAGGGAGACTGGATGCTCTTCTCTCGTACTGGAGTTTCATTCCCTTTTATGAACCAAATGCTATCACAGAGGCTGCTTTCCCACCTCCCCCTCCACAGGGTCTGGAGTGTTCTTCTCTATTCCTGTGAATTCCTATTTTTCTTCTTGAATTGAAGCTCACAAAGTTTATCTTTATGCTTATTTTTCTACTTCCAAGTGGCTGAGGCACACTGAAAGCCCCTAATCCATCATTCTAGGAAAAAAAGGATGGTTTAAATAAAGGAATGTTCATATAAAATATATATTAATTAACCCAAACATATTTTGTTTGACATGAGTTAGGTGAATCTTTGATACATTAATTAATTTTAAAATTGTTAAATAAAATTAGAAATATCTTCGAATTTGCCAAGGTATGTTTCCCTCCTGGGATTACTGGTCAGTTTTATTTTTTCCTCGGATAGATGTTTTAAGCCATAAATCTTGACATAGACCTGATGTAGACCTCCATACCTTTCCCAGATGTGGGACGGAGCAACTGGGACAGGTCCATCCTAGCACTAAGGGATGATTAAGCCTAACTTGTAGTCGTTGTACAACTATAGACATGGTTGATGCTTTAAGAGAAAGATCTTGATGGAAAGGGGTAAATGTAAAAATTGATCATATGAATTGGGTCATTCTTGTCACACCAAATAAAACCATCAAGAAGCCAGGGGGAGGAGGCATTCAGGGCAAAAACACCACTCCAAAAACGTAATTCTCTGCATGCCTGGCTGCTGAAATTACCTGCTTTAAGCTGAAACCAGTTTTATCGAATGGTTACTGAAACAACCTCTTGCAACACTAAGACTAGTTTTACCCACCACTGTCCCTCACCTATCAGAGCCTGCCAGCTCTCAAAAACCTTACTGGTGCCAGTGAACTTTCTCAAAGAGAAATACACACCATTTTTCTCTCTGTCTCCCTCTTTATAAAACCTCTAACTTTCTCTTTATGTTTTGGACACACTAAAGACACCCATTCTTCATGTATGTGTCAAATTGTAATACTTGTATCTCAAATAAAACATTTTAATTTCAGATGTTTGTCTCTATATTTATTTGACTTTGACAATCTGATATTATTTAGCATTATTTCCAGTCCCCCAAATAATGTCAAAATTTTGTTATGTTAGATAGGAATATCTTGTTATTCAACTTGAAGGTAAACTGCTTGATCAATGCATGTAATTCCTTGACAGATCATCAGCACCTCTAAGACAACATGTAGATATTGCTCATTATTAACTCATTTCATCTTTTCATGATAAATTACATAAATCTAATTTTCGTTTTTAAAATGCAAACCATTATGCCTCGTATTATGGCATTCTTGCATTACTATAAAGGAATACCTAAGCACTACGTAATTTATACAGAAAAGAAAGGTTGACTTGGCTCACAGTTCTGCAGGCTGTACAGGAAGCTTTGCATTGGCAGTTGCTTGGCTTCAAGAAGGGTCCTCAGGGAGGTTTTACACATGGCAGAAGGTGAAGCAAAAGAAGGTATGTCACATGGCCAGAGCAGGAGCAAGCAGGGAGAGGTGCCACACACTTTTAAACAGCCAGATGTCATGAGAGCTCACTCACTCTTGCAAGGACAGTGCCAAGAGGATGGTGCTAAACATGAGAAATCAGCCCTCATGACCCCATCACCTCCCACCAGACCCCACCTCCAACACTGGGAATTACAATTCAACATGAGACTTAAAGGGTACAACATCCAAACTATTTCATTCCATCCCTGGCCCTTCAAATCTCATGTTCTTCTCACATTGCAAGATACAATCATCCCTTCTCAATAGTCCCCCAAAAGTCTCAACCTGTTTCGGCATCACTCGAAAGTGCAGTTTCTTCTGAGACAAGGCAAGTCCCTTCCACTGATGCGCCTGTAAAATCAAAACAAGTTATTTACTTCTAAGATAAAATTTGGGTACAGGGCATTGGGTAAACCTTCCCATTATAAAAGAGAGAAATTGGCCAAAAGAAAGGGGCTACAGGCCCCACACAAGTTCAAATCCCAGCAAGGCAGTCATTAAATCTCGAAGTTCCAAAATAATCTCCTTTGAAACCATGTCCCACATCCTGGGAACATAGAGCATTCCCAGGATGCATAGGGTGGGCTCCCAAGGCCTTGGGCAGCTCTGCTCCCACAGCTTTTCTACACTGAAGACATGAGCTGCTGGTGGCTCTATCATTCTGGGATCTGGAGGGCAGCAGCCCCCCTCCCACAGCTCCACTAGGCAGCCCCCCCGAGTCAGGACCCCGTGTGGGGCCTCCAACCCCACATTTCCACTTGGCACTGTCCTAGAAGAGGTCCTCTTTGAGGGCTCCAGCTGGGCATAGGCTTCTTCCTGGGCATCCAGCCTTTCTCATACATCCTCCGAAATTTAGGCAGAGAATGCCAAGCCTCCTTCACTCTTGCACTTTGCTCACCTGCAGGCTTAACACCACATGGAAGCCACCAAGGCTTATAGTTAGCACCCTCTGAAGCCATGGCCTGAGCTCTATCTGGAGCCCTTTGAACCAAGGCTGGCGCTAGAAGGGCCAGGATGCAAGGAACACCCTCCTGGGGGTGGTACAGGGCAGTGGTGCCCTGGCCCTGGTCCAAGTGGAACAGGAATTAAAAGAAATTAAAGAATGTGTAAGCAGAAACTCAGTTGTATGTAAGAAAACCCAATTCCCCCTGAGAAAGAGAAAGAGCTGGAGCCCTTTAAAAATTAACTGCCGGTTTTTCTGTGGCTAGTGAGCCTCATCTCTCCTCCTTTCCCAGGCATTGTGAAGACCCTGTTCCTCTAGCTGCGCAGCTGCAAGGTCACTAGACAGATAAACTCAAGTCGTAAAACATGTTTTTCCTTGAAAAGTAAGAAATGATATAATGCATGTCTCAATTAATTGAATAACTGTCTTTGTTTCTCGCTTCTGTAATATGCTTCCCCCTGGACAGATCTCCCCACTCCCCACCACCCTACAAAATGCTTAAAAGGTAACTTAAGTCTTTGATCAGGACTCAGTCCTTTGGATGTTAATCTGACTGGGCCGGTGCAACTAAATAATAAATATCCTCCTCAACCCCATTGGTCTCTGATTCCTTAAAAAATCCCACTGCAGCCTGGGCATGGTGGCTCACGCCTGTAATCCCAGCACTTTGGGAAGCCGAGGTGGGCAGATCATGAGGTCAGGAGATTGAGACCATCCTGGCTAAGACAGTGAAAACCCGTCTCTACTAAAAATACAAAAAATTAGCCAGGCATGGTGGCAGGTGCCTGTAGTCCCAACTACTTGGGTTGCTGAGGCAGGAGAATGGCTTGAACCCGGGAGGCAGAGCTTGCAGTGAGCTGAGATTGTGCTGCTGCACTCCAGCCTGGGTGACAGAATGAGACTCCATCTCAAAATAAATAAATTAATTAATTAACTTATAAATTCCCACTACACAAGAAACCATTCTTTCATCCTAGACCTCTAGGTCTGTGCTGGGATGAGCTGCTGCAACGCTTTCTGAAATGCCTTCAAGGCCTTTTTTAATTGTCTTGGCTATCAGCACCTAGCTTTTTCTCAGTTACGCAAATGTCTCTAATAAGTGGTTGCTCCACAGCCTGCTTAGATTCTTCCCCTGAAAATGCTTTATCTTCCTCTGCCAAATGGGCAGGCTGCACATTTTCTATACTTGTATGGTCTGCTCTTCCCATTTAATTGTAAATTCCAACTTTAAGTCATTTTTTGCTCCTGCATCTGAGTGTTCAAACTTCCTCAGATCCCTAGTACATGAACAGACTGCAGCCAAGTTCTTTGCAAAGGCATAACAGGCATGACCTTTATTTGAAGTCCCAGTAAGTTCCTCATTTCCATCTGAGACCACATCAGCCTATCCTTCACTGTCCATATCACTATCAGCATTTTGGTCACAACCATTTAACTAGTCTCTAAGACATTCAGAACTTTCCTTCATCTTCCTGTATTCTGAGCCTTACAAACTCTTCCAACTCCTGCCCGTTGCCTAGTTCCAAAGTCACTTCCACATTTTCAAGTATCTTTATAGCAATGCCCCATGTCTCAGAACCAATTTTCTGTATTAGGCCATTCTTGCATTGCTATAAAGAAATACCTGAGACTGGGAAATATATAAAGAAAAGAGGTTTGAAAAGAAGTTTGTATAGCTGCAGGCTGTACAAGCATGGTTCTGGCATCTGCCTAGCTTCTGGTGAGGCCTCAGGAGGCTTTTATTCATGGCAGAAGATGAAGAAGGAGCAGGCAGGCACATCACCTGGCAAGGCAGGGGAAGCACCACACACTTTTAAACAAATAGATCTTGCAAGAATTCACTCACTATCACAAGGACAGCACCAGGGAGATGATGCTAGACCATTCCTGAGAAATCCACCCCCATGATCCAATCACCTCCCTCCAGACCTACCACCAACATTGGGGATATCACAATGCAACATGAGATTTAGAGGGAACAACATCTGAGGTATCTCATGCCTCATGTTGTGACTTGGTATAATTTCCATAAGATTACACTGACTTTACACACCATATTGCAGTTTTTGCTAGCTCTCCTGTAATAAGAAAATGGGATTCATCAGCAATGCCTTCTAAGTCTGGCTCTGTTTTCCCATGCAGACTTTTCCCTGAGCTCTGCTTGTAAGTCTTGCTAGAACCTCACCCTAGGCAGCAACCCCCAGTCTGAGACTGCCCTTGACAGTGGCTGAGGTTTGCATTGTTGGGATTAGAAAAAACAAAGGGAAGATAGACCAAAACAGATTTAAATACAGATCCCATTCGTTGAAGTTTTAAGTAATTTTAAATGTTTATTTTCACCAGCTGCCCACTCCCTTTGTACTCTCCTCACCCAAAAAAGCTGACTTGATATTCTAGTAAAAAGCCGAACTGTGCTTTAGAGAAACCCACTTGTTACTTCTTTAAATCCATATAATTTTGCCAAAGTGAATTTTTCTTAATATGCTCTGGCAGGATCAGAAAACTAATTATTTACACTAGAGTCACTTAACCTTTCCTCTTGGTCATTTGCATGTAAATTATTTTTATATGTATAAAATTTGCTTACTCATGAAAGCTCTTAACTATGCATATTTTTTGTTTTTGTGGTATCTTAACATATTCTAGTCTTGTCTTGAATTCCTTAAGACTTTGGGGTAAAGAACTCTATTGCAACAAGTTTCCACATCAAAGTGGGAAAGAGGAAGATTAGGTTAAGCATTAGGTCGTCAGGTATGTAGGACAGCTAATACCATTATCAGAATGGTAGTGATAGCCAGTTTGCATTCTGCATATTAGTTGTAACAAAAATATTCAGCATTTTAGTGACAAAACCAAAGTTGTTGTGAATCAGTTTGTACTTTATTTTTTGAGATAGGGTCTTACTCTGTCACCCAAGCTCAAGTGCAGAGGTGTGATCTTGGCTCACTGCAGCCTCAACCACCTAGGCTCAAGAGATCCTCCCAGCCCAGCCTCCTTAGTAGAGGTGAGTGCCACCACACCCAGCTATTTTTTCTCTAGTTTTTGTAGAGATTGGGTCTCACTTTGTTGCCCAGGCTGTTCTCAAACTCCTGGGCTCAAGCAATCCTTCTGCCTCAACCTCCCAAATGGTGCTGGGGTTACAGGTTTGAGCCACCGCACCTGGCCAGTTTATAATGTTAATGGCTTTTGGAGCAGGAACCAGTGGGTGCTGCTTCTTGTCTGCAAGATGAGGAGCCTCCTCTCCCCAGAAGTGAGGCATCTTCTACCACAAGGGAGGCTTTGCCCAAACAGTCACCGAAAGGCTGAGATTGGGGAGAGAACAAAACAGGAGTGAATATTTCCCTGGAAACTAGCTGCTCCCCAATTCAATTCTACTGCAGACATTCAGAATGAAGGGGACATTCAGCTGAGGAACAGGAGTGCACTGGCTGTTAAAATCTCAGGTTGTAACAACAATTTTGCTTCATTTTCCCTAAATAATTTTTAAACAATTGTTCTTAGGTGGTTTTCTAAACTTCGGGTAATATCTGTGAATTAGTAAATGTTCTTTAAAAGATTAGATAATATTTTTATTTTGTTTAATTATATGTGTTTTTAAACTAATTTTGTGGGAAAAATAATTTCTTTCCTTCCCTGTTATACCAAATACAGCCTTTAGCTCAAGACATAAGTAATTCCAGGAAAACTGGAATTTAAGTTCAATATGTTACACTAAGTACATTTGAAAGTTCATGCATTTTTATTTTAATTTAAAAAATAAATTTGCTTTATGCCTAGAAAAATCAGCAGACCAGACCTCCCTGGATACGCCTTCTGCTGCACTCATCCTCTTGAATGCCCAGCTCCAGGGAGGTCCATCCCCAGGCCTGATGGCTGTCCCCATCTCTTCATCTCTGGTAACGTTTTGGCTTGATTTGCAGCTCATACAGGGAAGGCTTTGTAGCCCTGGGAAATTTCTACTAAACAGAGAAGTGGTTTTGTGAAGGTCAAGTTTTTTCAGCTGTGGTGATGGAAAAACCAAATTCTGCCAAAGTATTTAGATAGCTTTATTCTAAGCCAATGCGAGTGACCATGGCCTAGGGTTACACAGTCTTAAGAGCTCCTGGGAGAGTGAGCCCAAGGTGGTCAGCTTACAGTTTGATTTTGTACATTTCATGGAGACAAATTGCAAATTAAGTTGTAAATCAATAAGTGGAAGGTATACATTGGTTCATCCTGAAAAGGCAAGACATCTCAACGAGGGGTCTTACAAGTCATAGGTGAGTTTTAGGAATTCTTTAGTTGTCAGTTGGTCAAGAGAGTTAAACCACTGTGTAAAGACATGAAGTCAGTAGAAAGGAATACTTGAGTTAAGATAAGGGGGTCTGCCATCTGTTATGTGATGCTGTCACAGGGTCAGGTTGGAAAATAAGCCACATTATACCAGGTTAATTGAAAAAAAAATCATGAGATTTTATGGCTTGTAGAGTGTGAATCTCCAGGCCCCTTAGACAGGATTTTTGGCAAGAGAATAAAAGGTCAGAGTTGAGGCCTCAGTCCCCACTATTGGCCAAAGATCATTTTATGGAATGTATGTGAAGGCCAACAACCAACAGGAAGTCCCACAATGCTAGGAAGTCTCATTCCCAGGGTTGTTTATTTGGTCATCTGTCATTGGTGATGATAGTTTCAATATTAGTGAGTTCAGATCATAGAAGAAGGACACAATCTGACGTGATTTAATAGCCAATTGTTTAAGTGGTGAGAGGGAGTAAGGCCCAGGGTTCAATCTGAAAAGCCATCCTGGATCAGATCTATCCTACAATTTATGACGATCTGGGTCTTTGATTGCATCTTTTTCTTTTCCTGCAATAGGCATGGCATTGACAGGAGACATATAATGATAAAATAGCAATACATGTATAAAAATAGTGAAGATTGGGCATACAAGAAAGTTATAGATAGAATCAGAGGACAGTAAACAACACAACCAGCTAAAAAAGTCCCCACATGCATCATCATATTCTTTAATGGAACTTACAACATGCATAGCTTCCTTGTCAATAGACTTTTGAAGTTTACGATCAATCTTATTTGAGGATTGTAGGACCAACAACCAAATCAGAGTGCAGTAAATTTAATTTCTCTTCTGGCCAACTGGTCTCAATAAGGATAACATCCTGCGGGGGTGTAATAGGCCATCCTTGCCCTGCTATAAAGAAACTCCATGAGATTGGGTAATGTATAAGAACAGAGGCTGTAATCCCAGCACTTCGGGAGGCCGAAGCAGGCGAATCATGAGGTCAGGAGTTCAAGACTAGCCTGGCTAACATGGTGAAACCCCATCGCTATTAAAAATACAAATATTAAAATACAAATATGTATACACAAATATGTATACACATATATACATATGTGTATATGTACATATATACATATATGTGTATATGTATATATACACATATATACATATACATATATGTATGTATATATACATATATACACGTATATATACATATACACATATATATGTATGTATATATACACATATACATATATATGTATATGTGTATATATATTAGACAGATATATATGTACATATACATATATATGTATATGCATATATAATATACATATACCATATATGTATATGTATAAATATATTATGTATATATATACACATATGTATATATGTATATATACAAAATGTATGTATAGATATTAGACAGAGTTTTGCTCTTGTTGCCTAGGCTGGAGTGCAATGGTTCAATCTCGGCTCACTGCCAACTCCACCTCCCGGATTCAAGCGATTGTCCTGCTTCTGCCTCCCGAGTAGCTGGGACTACAGGCATGTGCCACCACCCTCGGCTAATTTTGTATTTTTCGTAGAGATGGGGTTTCACCATGTTGGTGAGGCTGGTCTCGAACTCCTGACCTCAGGTGATCCACCTGCCTCGGCCTCCCAAAGTGCTGGGATTACAGGCATGAGCCACTGTGCCCAGCCTATTTTGTATTTTTTAATCTACCACACTCTAAGAACACATATTTTAAATCAATTTGTACATTCAGTGCCTAGAACAAAACCAGCATTTTGTAGATTCCAAAGAATTATTTGTTGTATAAATGATGAGTAACTTAAACAAGTTATTATTTATAACATCTATATACAAACAATATATTACCTCAGAATACAGTGATAACATTTGTTATGTATGATTTCAATTTCAGTTAAAAAATATTTTTTGCATGAGTTATTGTCATATACAGATGCTCACATTGTTTTGTTTATATGAAAATGTTTGTAACTACTATGCACATTTTTGCTACTTCAGCCTTTTGGTCTTGCTGCCGTAGCAAATACTGTGCCTCTTAAGAACATGAACCTGTTTTACTTCATTTTTTAGCAGATTTCTTAATGAAATATATAGCATACTATTTTGTTTAACACATAAGCAGACACCCTGTCAGAAGCAAAGAGACATCTACTCCACCATTACCACCCATCCCTCTACTAATGTGGCTGCTGAAGATGTTACCTAGAGCAGAGGACTTTGTGTTCAACCTAAGCACTTTATATCCTTTATTTTCAATTGGGTAGGAGATAAAATAATTCAGCAGCAATAAAAGTCACACTTCTTAAAGTTGCAGTCTCGCCAAGGCACCACAATGTAGCAGTCTCTCTTGTGAGGTATCACCTGGAGTTCTTTATCTCACCACCAAGATGATTAAGGAACCGGGACACACGGGTGAGGTTGGAGTGAAAGTTTAATAAGCAAAAGGAGGAAGCTCTCTGCAGCAGACAAGGGCGTCCAAGTGGATTGCCGTTTTTATAGTTGAATCAAAAAGCTTTTATAAGAAACTCCTCTCAGCTATGTATAAAACTGTCTGCACAATTCCCTTCATATATCCAGCTGTGGGTATGTCTCTAGTCAAGCACAAAGTGGGCTTCTCTTGTTGTATAACTGTGGGTTTGTTTTAGGTGAGCCCCCCTCCTCCCTGTGTAAGTTCCCACAGAGGCCACCGTGTATATGCCTGAAAAAGGGAGGAAAATTTTTCCTGGGAGCTTGCCAATTACACAAAGAACAGAAGGCGTCTGTGCTGGACCCTGCATGCTCATCTGTGCAGGGCTTATCTGTAGGTGCAGTAGTTGTGATTTTTCAGGCAGACAGCTTCCCTGAGGACCAGTCTCTTTCTTGTTTACTCAACTAATTTTCCTTTCCTTCTCCCTCAACATTGTGCAGCAAAACAGAATACACTTCTCTTTCCCAGTAAATCAGTGTTGGTACTCCACTCCGAATACTTGTATTATTGGATTTCTTAGAAAAAAAATATTTGGGATCATAATTTAGATGCCATCAAACAATGAACAAAAATATGCTACTTCGTTTCCCTTCTCTTCTCTTGTTACCAGACAACAGCTAGTTTTCTTTTCTCTCCAACTCCTTTTTTCTGTGCTTCTACCTGATTTTTAGAAAAACTTCTACGCATTTCCAATCTTAGTACAGCAGACATCAAATATGTGGTCAAACTACATACATAGGAAGAGTTGAATTATATAATTATATTCAAGCATTTTAAAATAATTCCCCTTCAGTTTGTTTTGCAGTTATTTTACAAATCAAATGTCTTCTTGATATACGTCCCAACCCAGTGGTTGTCAAGCTCTGCTTTGTTTTCTAACTGCATCAGATTTATCCACAATTTTTTTTTTTTTTGGAGATGGAGTCTCACTGTTGCCCAGGCTGGAGTGCAGTGGCATGATCTCAGCTCACTGTCATCTCTGCCTCCCTGATTCAAGTGATTCTCCTGCCCCAGCCTGCCAAGTAGCTGGGACTACAGGCGTGCACCATCATGCCTGGCTAATTTTTGTATTTTTAGTAGAGATGAGGTTTCACCATGTTGGCCAGGCTGGTTTTGAATTCCTGACCTCAAGTGATCCACCTGCCTAGGCCTCCCTAAATAAGAATTATCCAAAATTCTTATGATAAATATGGATAAATCAGCACAACTCAAGATTTAAGAAATAAAAACTTCCAAGAGAAGAAACCCAGGAATATGCATTGAAAATGTCTCCCTCACGTGATTCTGATGCGATATGTGGTCTGAGTTTAAAATGTAAGGAAAATTACCTTCCCTGCCCTCCAGTTGGCCCTTATGTCCAGATGTCCCTCTTTCCCTTTCTCATTGTGCTCTCTCCTTCTGTGCCTTTGTTCTATTCTCCCTCCACTTCTCATCCAGATGCCAAGCCCTCTTGCATCATTTGTCCTAAAACTCCAAATGGTCAGTTGCCTCTAAACTTCCCTCTGTCCCATGAACAAGTTATGCAGGCAAATGTAGAATTTAAGCTTGGACCAAGCTGAATCAAGAGCTGCAATTAGAGATTTCCCTAAGCCCAGAGGGGACCAGCAAATACTTATAGGTGATTTTGGATTTCCTCTGAGTGCATAAGGCTCTGGGTAACCTGATGCTATAGACCAAATGTTATTGTCCCCTCAAATTCAAGTGTTGAAATCTAATTCCCTATGTGATGATATTTGGAGGTAGGGCCTTAGAGAATGATTAGATCATGAAGGCAGGGACCACATGAGTGGGATTAGTAGCCCCTATTGAAGGCACCATAGAGAGCTCCCTCATCCCTTCTGTCATGTGAGGACATGGTAGAAACATGGCTGTCTATGAACCACAAAGCAAGCCCACACCAGACCTGCAATCTGCTAACCACTTGACCTTGAATTTTGCTATCTCCAGAACTGAGAGAAACAAATTTGTTTATAAGCTTCCTCATCTATGGCATTCTGTTTTGACCCAAGATTAGCTGAAAACACCAAAATATCAACTTGTACACCAAATTTTGGAAATGGATGCTAAAACTTTGATGGCAAAAAGTGACTGATCTGCCTGAGAAATGAAACCTACATGATCCCTCTTTCCACAAGGCTGAAGGGAGAGTCAACACAAGCAAAAATAGGTCAAAGTCTTCTAAAAGCCATACCTGAAGGGTTTTCAATATCACTTGATCATATGGTAATTTAATCACAGAAAGAACCACAACAAAACACACAACTATCAGAGGTTTTCAACATCGCCTCAAAAACACCATCTACAATATTAGGGAGTGAAAGAAGCCATGGAAGTTTCAAAAAGTCAAACTTCATTTCAGTGTTATGGTAGAAATTTGAAATTCTTAGGTAAGCTATGAATAAATCCTTGGGCAGGTGCAGGCATACAGATTCTGGGGTGCAGCTGCTGAGTTTAAAAGCTTCCTTTGGAGATGCCCCCTGGCCCCCTCACCCCCTGTCCGCCTGTCAAGAAGAGGCCATCCTGGGCAGCACATTAGGGGCAAATGGCCCAGATGCCCAGCTGAGGGCAAACCTCCATGCCTGGAGGAGGAGGTCGCCTCTGGGAGCAGGAGGACCTGCTGGAACCCCTGCTCACAGGCTCCTTTTCTTGCTCTCCAGCACCTCCTGCAGGCAGGCAAACAGCCCCAGCAGCAGTAGCAGCAGGCCCTTCAGCAGCAGGGCTGCTGCTCTGCTGAATGAGAGAAGTCCCTCTCCAGTGAGGCAGAGGAGCCCAGATTGCAAACCCTGGTCTCTGCCTCCATAGCTTCCACTGTGCCCAGGACTGGGAGCAGTGTGGGAGCTGCTGGCTGGAGCTGTGCTGGCCACCCCTCTCTGCCACCTCTAGCTCCAGCCACACTTTCAGCTCCAGGGCTGAGGCCGGTGGCTCTACAGGAGGTGCCATGAAGTCAGGCAGCTCCTCACTGGGCTGGTCCTGAGCAGTCCCAGGGCAGCGGCAGGAGGGCTCTGGAGCTTCCTCTAGCTCCAGCGCTGTCCCTGGAGGGGAATCTGCCCCTGGTGCTGGCACTGGCTCAACAGCTGGCACTGGAAATCGCTGTATTTCTGCACCTGAAGCAGGAGCTGAAAAAGGAGAGAGGTCACCAATACCACTCACTTTCCACTGGAATTTCCAAACATGAAAACAACCTCATTGAATTTAAAGGAATTTCAGCCTGAAAACATTGTCCCTGGAAAGACTTCCAGACTGCAGGTGACCTCAGCATGTGCCTGTGTCTCAATGAGCTCCAGAGGCTCCAGCTGGACAAGGACAATGTGCAGATGTGGCCCTGGTGGGATCACTGGTGAGGCCTGGCCTGGTAGCTCCATCTGGGGCCTGATGTCTACCTGGTGACTCCTGTCCTGTGGTACCTGGGGGGGGGCTTCTGCCAAATGGCCAGAGGCATCTGGGGTGAGGGATGAGCCTACAAGGGCGTCATCAGCAAAGAAAGGCTCTCACTCCTGCCATTCCTGAAGCAGGAGCCTTGAGATGTGGGGATGCAGCACAAGAACATCTTGCTCTCTTGAGCGTCTCCCACCAAGTGAGCTGGCTATGGGGCTAATGCTAGGATGTGGGTGCCCGGTTATCGGGATTCTTTTTTTTTTTGAGACATAGTCTCATTCTGTTGGCCAGGCTGGAGTGCAGTGGCATGATCTCGGCTCACTGCAACATCCACCTACTGGGTTCAATCAATTATCCTGCCTCCGTCTCCTGAGTAGCTGGGATTACAGGCACAAGACACGCACCACCACACCTGGCAAGGTTTTTTGTGTTTGTTTGTTTTTTGTATTTTTAGTAGACATGTGGTTTTACCATGTTGGTCAAGCTGGTCTCGATCTCCTGATTTCATGATCCTCCTGCCTTGGCCTCCCAAAGTGCTGGGATTACAGGTGTGAGCCACCGTGCCTGGCCTGGTTACCAGAATTCTAAGTTCTGTTAGGGTCTGTTGCCAAGGAAGTGAGGTCGCTTCTTTAAGTTTCCATCCCCTCGGCCTCCTCCTTCCAGAAAACCTTCTCAGGACCCCAGTGGGCTGCTGACTGCTAACCCTCCCCACAGGTCAACTCCTTACCTGTACACAGTTATGTCCACCCAGGGCCTGCTTGGACACCTGCACCTGATGTTCACCAGAGACCTAGGAATCCACTTGCAGCCTGTGATCCTACAGGGGCCTAATGTTACCCTGCAGATTGGGTAGCCACCTGGGGACCAGGTATCAACCTGGGGACTGTGGTTGACCTGCGGGCTAATGTCCACCTGGGGACTGGTTACTCACCTGAGGCCTGATGTGTACCTGGGGCCCAATGTCCCCCTCAGGGTGAATTCCACCTCAGGCCTGTATGTCCACCTGGGGCCTGATGTCTGCCTTAGGTCTATGTCCCACTGGGACCTTATGTTCACCAGGGACTGGTATCCAGCTGTGGCCTGATGACCTACTGCATCCTGTTGCTCACCTATGGCCTGGTGTCTACCTGGGGCTTGGTGATCACCTGGGAGCTGGATATCAACCTGGGGCCTGGGTGTCCACTTAAGGCCTGATGTGTGCCTGGGGCCTGATTGTCCACCTGGGGACTGGGTGTCCACCTTGGGTCTGATGTCTACCTGAAGTTATTTATCTACCTAAGGCTTGGTGTCTACCTGTGGCCTGATGTCCACATGAGTCTGGGGTTCGGTTGGGGCCTGCTGTACATCTGGGACCTTGGTGTCTATCTGAGGCCGGATGTCTACCTGGTGACTGCCATCCTCTTGAGGCCTGATATCCACCTGGGAATGGTTTATCCATGGAAACCTTTATGTCCACCTGGAGCTGGATGTCGCCCAGGGGCTAGATGTCCACCTGTGGCCCCGTGTCCACCTAGGGCCTGATGTCCACAAGTTGGCCTGGTATTCATCTGGGGCCTTCATGCTAATGTGGCTTAATGTACTCCTGGGTTCTAGTGTCCTCTTGGGACCTGATGTCTACCAGGATCCTGGTATCCACCTGGGGCCTGGTATCCACCTAGGGCTTGATATTCACCTGGGGCCTAAGAATCCACTTGATAACTGATGCCCATCGGGGTCCTGATGTTCACCTTGGGACCGGGTAACCACCTGAGGCTTGATGTCTACTTAGGGCATAAGTGTTTATCTGGGGTCTAGTGTTCACATGGGGCCTGATGTCAACCTTGAGCCTAGGTATTCATCAGGGGACGAGTGTCCAGCTGGGGCCAGATGTTCACTTGGGGTCTGGTGTCAACTTGAAGCATGGTTGTCAACCTAGGACCTGATGTCCAGTCCAGTGTCCACCTTGGGCCTGTTTTCTAACTGGGGCCTGTGTGTCCACATAGACCCTGGTGTCAATTTGGGGCCGGGGTATTAACAAGGGGCCTGGATATTCATTGGTACATTATGTCTACTGGGGTCTTTGTGTCAATCTGAGCTCTGATGTCCACCTAGAGATTGGGTATCCACCTAAGGCCTGGTGTTTACATGGGGCCTGTAACACGAGGTTCCAGATGAACTCGGATGTCCACCTGAGGCCTCATGTCCACCTGAGTTCTGAGTGTTCACATAGGGCCTGCCATCAACTTGGGACCTAAGTATTTACCTAGGGCCTGGGTGTCCACCTGGGGCCTGACTTCCAACTAGATCTTGTGTCAACATGGGGCCTGATGTCCACTTTGGGCCTAGGTAACTTCCTGATGACTAATGCACACATGGCTCCTAAGGACCATCTGAGGCCTGGTATTAATTTAGAGACTGGTATCCACCTGGGGTCCAGGTATCCACTTGGGACCTGATGTTTACCTGGAGTGTAGGAATTCACGTGGGGCCTGGTGTCCACCTTGAGTGTGTGTATCCAACTGAGTGCTGGTGTCCACCTGGAGTCCAGTGTATACCCGGGGCCTGATGTACATATGGGGCCTGGGCATCCATCTAGGACCTGATGCTCAGATAAGGGCTGGCGTTCTCCTGGCCTGGTGTCCATGTGGAGCCTGGGCGTACACTTGAAGCCTGATATCCCAGGTGGATACCTGGGCCCCAGTGGTCATCAGATCCTAGGAAACTCTCAGGCCCCAGGTGCACATAAAGCTACAGTGGCCACCTAGGCCACAGGTTGATACACAGGGTCCAGGTGGACACTGGGTGCAAGATGAACACCAGGCCCCAGGTGTCTGCCTAGTCCTCAAGTGGACACCAGGCACTAGATTGACACACAGGTACCAGGTGGATATCAGGCCGCAGGTGAACACCAGGCCCCAGGTGGTTGGGTTACTTATAGCATAGGTGGCCATCAGTTCCCATGTCTATAGCCACTCCCCACCTGAAAATCAGGATCCAGGTGGATACCCATGTCCTAGGTGAACACCAGTTTCCAAATGGACATCAGGCTCCAAGTGAACACACAGGCCCCAGTTCAATACCAGCCTCAGGTAGACATCAGGACCCAGGTGGACCCCAGGCCCAATGTGCATGCCTAGTCTCTTGGAATACATCATTTTCAAGGTGGACACCCAGATTCCTCGTAGACATCTGATGCCAGGTGGATATCTGGCTGCAGGTGGACATCAGGCCCCAGGTGGAGGAGACCCAGTACACAGCTGTAAATCAGGCTCCAGTATTTCATCAGGCCCCAGTTAAACACTTGACTAAAGGTGCGCATCAAGACCCAGGTTGACCCCCAGGCTTCAGGTGCACACTAGGCCCAAAGTGTACACCCGTGCCCAGGTGGGCATCAGGCCCAAGGTGTACACCAGACCCCAAGTGGACATCAGGTTCCAGGTTGACACCAGTCTCTCGGTAGATCCTTAAGTCCCAATTGGTCATCAGGCCCAAGGTGGATGGATACCTTGACCCCAGGGGGTCACCAGGTCCCAGGCAGGCCTCAGGTGGACACCAAGCCCTAGGTTAACACAAGGTCTGAGATGGTTTCAGCCCCCATGTGGACTTTAGTCATAAGGAGCTTACCTAGGCCCTATGTGGACATCAGGTCCCAGGTTGACACAATGAACCATGTAGAAGTCAGGCTGTAAGTAGACACCCAGGCCCTAGGTAAATACTTTGGTCCCAAGCCAACATCAGGCCCTATGTGGACATCCAGACTCCAGGAAGATGTCAGGCCCCAGGTGAACACTGAACTCAGGGTGGTCATCAGGCCCTAGGTTGACACATAGGCCTCAGGTAGACAACAGGCATAGGTGAACTTCAGGCTCTAGATGAATGTTGGGCTCCAGGAAGAAGTCTGTGCCCCAATTAAACACTGGGTCTTAGGTAGACATCAGGCCTCAAATGGATGCCCAGGCCCCAGGTGGATATAAGGCCTCAGGCAAACACCAGGCCCCAGGTAGACATTAGACACGAAATGGACACTCAGGCCACAAGTGAACATCTGTCCCCAGGGGGACATCCATCCCAAGGTGGACATCAGGCCAGAGATGTACACCCAGGCCCCAGGAGAACCCCAGGCCCCAGGAGGACACTCAAGTGCCAGAAGGACACCCAGTCCCTAGGTAACTACAAGGCCCCAGGTGGACATGATGTTCCAGATGGATATGAGGCCCCAAGTGGATACTAGGCCCAGGTGGACCCCAGGTCTCAGGGGCACACCAGGCCCCAGGGGAACACCAGGCCCTAGGTAAGCATGCAGTCCCAGGTGGACACCAGGTGCCAGGAGGACACCAGGACCCAGTTGGTCATCAAGCCACTGCTGAACACCAATTCCCCATGAACACCAGTCCTCAGGTGGGCACCTAGTCCTCTTGTGTGCATCAGGTGCCAGGCTGACATAGGCACCAGCTGAACTCTGGGCCTCAGGTGAACATCAGATCCCAGGTTGTCACCCAGGTCCCAGGTGAACACCAGGTTTTAGGTGGACACGAGGTCCTAGGTGGATGTCTATGCTCCTGGTGAACCTCAGGCCCTAGTGGACACTCAGGCCCTTTATAGACATCTGGCTCCATATGCACTCCCAGGGCCCAGGTAGACATGAGGCCCCAGAGGAACACCAGTCCTTAATCAACTAAGACTGAATTCCCCTAGGGCTGGAGACTGAGTATTCACCTTGGGCCTAGGAATCTACCTGGGGCCAGATGTCGATCTGGGGCCTGATGTCTACTCAGTTTCAGCTGTCCACCTAGGGTGTGGTGGACCTCTATTCTGTCCCCACCCTGCAACATTGGGCCAGCTCAGTCTCTGCCACCAGCTTCCCACATCGTCGTCCCTCAGAGCCCTAGGGTGGGTTCCCCCTACCTAGTGTCTCTGGCCCCTGCTCTCCACTCTCAGGCCTGACAAACATGCAACCCCTCACACATGTGTCTTCCTGAAGGCGTGGGTGTTGGGACCGCTGGCACAGAAGTCACAGCTTAGCTACATGTGTGTCCCAGACTTGCTTAATCAATGGAGCAGTGAACCCGCTGCTTCTGGGGTACAGTCTCCTCCATTTCATGGGTCAGGTAGACAGGCTGCGTCCTCTTCACCCCCAGGTGTGCGCACACACAGTCATCTCCACCTGCAATCCAGTGCCAGCTGAAGCTGCACGCTCTGCAACAGAGGCCTGTGCACGACCTCGCTGCGCACACAGCAGGGGCTGCCCTCGGTCCCTCCCTCTCCCCTAAAGTCCCTGCCTCCCAGCCCCACGACCCACAGGAGGAGCCAGTCCCCTAGCCCACGGAGCCACGGTGGGTGCGGCCTGGGGACTTGGCATGGCAAGCTGGCCCATAGGGTCGTCCCTAGCACCTACCAGAGCGCGTACGAGGGAGCCGAGGCTGCAGCGCCGGGTGGGCAGCGAGCTCCCTGGAGACCCATGCAGCGGGTCAGGTGCCAGCTGCCGCCAGGTCTGTGCGCGGGGCCGGGCCACCAGCGTGCGGCTTCCCGCTCTGGAGAGTTTATGGCCCCTGTCCTCGGACGGCTCCGCAGCCGCCAGGGAGGGACTGGAGGGACCGCGGCTGAGACAGGCTGCTGCACCAGGCGGCCCTGGACCGCCGCTTCCGCCCCTAAGCCGCCCTCCCAGCCCAGGTGACAGGTCGCCCTACCCAGGGAGCATCGCCCTCCTCCGCCGGGGGGCCCGAGCCCGGCGTGGGGGTTGCAGGCCGGCGCCACAGCCTGAGGACACCGCGACCTCTGCCCCCGGGAGCGCGCCGAATGCGGGGTGGGGCTGCTGTCGCAGGCCGTGGAGCCGCAGCCCCGCTGGAGGGCAGGGTCCGGCTGGGCGTCGGGGTCCTGGCAGAGACAGCGGTGAGAGCAGGAGCAGGTGCACTGGCAGCTGCAGACGCGCCGCCAGGCTCCCGGACACCGCGGGCGCGCCCCCTGGTGGCAGCCGGCTCCGGAGCCGCGGGAGGGCGGTGCCCAGTCCCCAGCCGGCGGCAGCGCGAAGCGCCTTCCCCGCTTGGGGGAGCGGGCGTGGACCTGCAGCTGGAGTGCCTTACTAGTGAAAAAGCTGGGGTTGGAGCTGCCACGGGGGGAGGTGTGGGGGCCTAGGGGGCTCTGCCTGGACCTTCTGGGTGTCCTCCTGCGACCTCAGGTTCCTCACCTGTCTCAGAGGACTGATGGGCTGCTGTGGCAGGGTTGTTTGGAGGATTAAGCCAGATAGTCCCAGTAAAGCCCCATTAGCGCCCCCTGGCCTCTGGATTATTATTTTTTATTATTTTTCTGGCTTTCTTAGGAAACTTTCCGGAATGTGTCCAGGTGTTGAAGCGGGAAGGCTGGACACCCTCCCGTGGCGTTGCCGTTCCTTCCAGACGCCCCCTCTTCTTAGGCTGTTTTCAAGGGCACGCCCGGCAACATGTGCTCTACCCAAGAGCGCTTCACAGATCTTCCTGTGGGTCTAAAACCAGAACGCTTTCTTCCCCGACCCCTGCTCCCATATCACCCCAACCTCAAGTCTTTTGGCACAGCCGGCTACAGACTCGAGTGTCAGTTTAATGCTTGTTCCCTAAGGTCTCCCCAGGGCTGTTAGGACGGCGTTAGGGTTAGGATTCGGGTTCGGGTGCGCCTCTCCGCGCCTGCGCCGGCGCTGGGGGGCCTTTGCGAGGGCGGAGCTGCGTTCTCCTCAGCACAGACTTTGGAGATACAGTGAAGGCGGAGCAATGTTCTTCTCAGCACAGACCTGGGCGGGTCGGGGGCACCGCGAGGGCGGAGCTGCGTTCTGCTCAGCACAGACTCCGGGGACACCGCGAAGGCAGAGCAGGGTTCTCCTCAGCACAGACCTTGGGGGGCACTGTCTCGCTTTGGGACAACTCGGGGCCGCATCGACGGTGAATAAAATCCTTCCTGTTTGCAGCCCTGAATAATCAGGGTCAGAGACCAGTTAGAAGGGTTCAGTGTGGAAAACGGGAAACCAAAAGCCCCTCTGAATCCTGCCCACCGAAGTTCTCCCCAGCCAAGGCGAGGCGGCCGCAGTGCGAGATACACACCGCAGCCTAGGAAGACAAATGCAGCATTCCTAATGCAGACATGACACCCCCATTGCTCATGTAACAAGCACCTGTAATGCTAATGCACTGCCTCAATACAAAAATATTAATATAAGATCCGCAATCCCCTCGCTGCCGTGCAGTCCTAAGACAGCGATCATAATAATCAACATTGACATAGTCAATACAAACGTAGTAACGAACCTAGGGTTAAGGTTGGTGTTAGGGTTAGGGGTTAAGTTTAGGGTTAGGGGTTGGAGATAGGGGTTGGGGTCAGAGTTAGGGGTTAGGAGTCAACGTTTAGAGTTTGGGGTTAAGAGAGGTTAGGGGTTAGGGATTAGGGGTTAGGGTTGGGTTAGGGTGAGGGTTGGGGTTAGGGTTAGCAGTTAGGGTTAAGGGTTAGGGGTTAGGGTCAGGGGTTAGGGGTCAGGGTCAGTGGTTAGGGGTCGGGGTCAGGGTCAGGGGTCCCACTCTGTGGGTTGCCTATTTACTCTGCTGACTGTTCCCTTTGCAATGCAAAAGCTCGCTCTTTAGTTTAAATGAGTCCCAGCTATTTATCTTTGTTTTTATTGCATTTGCATTTGGGTTCTTGGTCATGAAATCCTTGCCTATGCCAATGTCTAGAAGGGTTTATCCAGTGTTATATTCTAGAATTTTTATAGTTCAGGAATTAGGTTTAAGTTCTTAATCCATCTTGAGTAGATTTTTGTATAAGGTGAGAGATGAGAATCCAGTTTTATTCCCCTACATGTGGCTCGCCAATTATCCCAACATCGTGTGTTGAAAAGGGTGCCCTTTCCCCACTTTATGTTTTTGTTTACTTTGTCGAAGATCAGTTGGCTGTAAGTATTTGGGTTAATTTCTGGGTTCTCTCTTCTGTTCCATTGGTCTATGTGCCTAATTTTAAACCTGCGGACAGGAGGGTCCTATGGAAGTCTAGCCACCCCTCCCAGGTTGGTGCTCACAGCCCCTCCCTGGCCCACTCCCTCTACACCTGAACCTGCTGGTCTCTGGGAGAGGAGCATCCATCCATCTTGTGCGCATAGCTTTCTGCTCCATTTTCATGAGTTTGGTCTCCTTGGCAGAAATGACCATTAGGTGATCCTGAGCCTGTGCTGGCTGTTCTCTAAGTGCCAAAGTCAGTGAGAGGGACTTGAAAACTCAAGAATTATTAACATTATTTTCTGCATTTTATGCTTTCGGGGTTGTTTTTTCCTTAAAATGTGTAAAAACAAATATTGAGATTTCTATCTTTTATATAATTTGGATTCTGTCATCACATGGACTTTTCATTTTCCTGAAATTTATTTTTATGTATGTATATCAAACATTGAATTTCTCTTTTCTTCTTTACTGGAATTGTTAACTGTCTTAGAGGCCAAATCTTTTTTTAAAAAATCTCTCTAATCTCTGTAAACATTTCTAATTACATATATATTTTCTATACCTAATACACTACTTTGGAATTCCTTGTGGCCTAATTGCATCGGGGTGCTCTGGTTTTGTTGTTGTTATTTCTGAATTACATTGACTTTGGTGCTCTTTATTTTGCATATTTAAAACTATTAGATAGTGTGATTATATTTGACAGGTCTTAATTGATGCGCTGTTCAGCGCTGTGAGTTCGGTTGAGATTTGGGTTGGAGAATTTTCTTCCACAGGGGATTGTCTTGGATTTTTCTGTTTCTCCCTCAATATCCACCTGGAAAACATTTCAATTAATTTATATTCACTTAAATATTTCTGTGCAAAAACTGTGTACAAAAGCCCCAAAGTATAATTTGGGCAGTTGAGCAGATATTCTGTTGTCCAGCATTTATGGTGGTTTGTAGTGGAAAAGACTTTTTGAATATGTGAATTTTCAGGATATTACCAGAAGCCCAGAGAGCCACACTTTACCTTTGGAGGAATTAATTCTCAGAATATTGCACACAATCAATTGCCTTTGGAAGGAGCACATATCCCCAGCAAAAGCTCTGGTTTTTTGAAGTCTGTATTGTGTGTTATTTCCAGGAGAATACGCAATGATGAAAATGTTATTAAATGATTCAAATATGAAATGCTGTTATGCCAAACAATGAATCTTTGTGTTATACATTATGCCGAACTATAAATCTTTATGTTATACATTCTAATGTCATTGGAGAATACTCCTGTCTTCTTGGCATTATTGATAATTAGATTCTAATTGCTAATAAGTCAGAAAAATTAGGAACATCAAATTTCAGTCTTCTCAAAAGCACTCCTGTTATTAAATTTGGATTTTTACCTTTATCACATCAAAGGAAATATTGTTAGAAAGGTGTTTAATGTTTTCCAGATGGATAGATTACTGTTATTAGTTCTTATTTCATTGTTAATTTTTAAAACCATAAAGTTGGAAGTATCAATATGCCTTTCAATATACCCTAGTGGAATTTATTAAATTTTCATGGATGTCCTTTAGGAGGTTCAGGAAGTTATTTCTATTGCTAGATTTCTGGAAGACTCATCAGGAATGAGTGTCAGACATTGTCAGATGTCCATTGAAATCCTCATGGTCTTTTCCTTTATTCTATTAATATGGTGTATTACACTGATTGATTTTTAAATTTGTATTTGTAGGGTAATTCCACTTGGTTAATTGTCTAACTTTTTTCTAATTTTCTTTAATTTTTATTAGTGGTGAGGCCTCACTCTGTCCCCCAGGTTGGGGTGGAGTGGCACAGTCACAGCTAACTATAACTTCAAACTCCTGGGCTCAAGTGTTCCTGCCACCTCAGCCTCCTAAGTAGCTGGGACTACAGGTGTGCACCGCCATGCCAGGCTTGTCTAACATTTTTATGTGTTGCTTCCTCCAGTTTGCTAGAGTTTTTGGAGATTTCTGCCTTCATTCATGAGGGATTTATTTTATTTTTATTTATTTATTTTCTTGTGATGCTTTTGTCTGATTTGTTATCTGGGTAATTCTGGCCTCAAAAATGAATTGATGTTTTCCTGCTTCTCTGCTTTGCAAGTGTTTGTGAAGGATTGGTTATTCGTTAAGTGTTTAATAGAATTCACTAGTGAAGCTAT